>NC_000021.9:45468816-45622712 GCF_000001405.40 Homo sapiens | reverse complement strand
TCTCCTAGATTGTTTGTCAGGAAGTTCCAGGCTTCGGGGACCCAGGATGTGGTTCCCCAGGGCAGGAGTGTGGGATCCAGGTGGAGACACCCCGTTGGCCCCACAGATTTCCTGTCCTTCTGTGGGAGAGGCAGGTCAGACCAGACAGGCTCTGGGCGGAATCCCTCAGATCCAGGTTACATGAGCCTGATGGCATGGGTGCACACACGTCTCACTCTGCTTTCAGTAACTATCCCCCTCCAGGTGGATAAGTGGCTTTTTTTTTTAAGTTAAGTTCCGGAGTACATGTGCACAATGTGCAGGTTTGTTACATATGTATATGTGTGCCATGTTGGTGTGCTGCACCCATTAACTTGTCATTTACGTTAGGTATATCTCCTAATGCTATCCCTCCCCCCTCCCCCAACCCCACAACAGGCCCTGGTGTGTAATGTTCCCCACCCTGTGTCCAAGTGATCTCATTGTTCAATTCCCACCTATGAGTGAGAACATGCAGTGTTTGATTTTCTGTCCTTGTGATAGTTTGTTCAGAATGATGGTTTCCAGCTTCATCCATGTCCCTACAAAGGACATGAACTCATCCTTTTTTATGGCTGCATAGTATTCCATGGTGTATATGTGCCACATTTGCTTAATCCAGTCTATCATTGATGAACATTTGGGTTGGTTCCAAGTCTTTGCTATTGTGAATAATGCTGCAATAAACATACGTGTGCATGTGTCTTTATAGCAGCATGATTTATAATCCTTTGGGTAGGATAAGTGGCTTTAAGAGACACACACACACAGCCCCACAGCCTGGAGACAAGCAGCTCACGCCACACGTGGAAGAGAAGGCATTGACCCTGCTGGCTCTCCAGCCTGTGGATGCCCGCACAGGCACTGTCCTCACACTCCAGGCAGGCCTGAGATCGGGGCGCTGCTGGCAGTCTTAACAAAAAGCAAAAGAGCTGACATAATCTCTCTCCCTTCCAGGTAAAAACGAAGTTTTTAGCAATCACTGAAAAAGTAGCTGCCCTTAGAGGCAGGTGCTGGGAGAGGCTGCTGGGGAAGCAGACATTTGGAACGGTTTCCGAATGTCATGTGACCTTCTTGCCAAAACCTGTTAAACTTGTCACCTGTAACAACTCTCATATTTGCTCATCCTTAAAATATAGAAATGTTTTCTCTAACCTGTTAAAAAAAAGTATTCTAAATCAAAGGTTTCAGTGAGGCTTGAAGCCATTTGTTAAAAATATATGAATGCAACTCTTTCCAATTAGTTTGCAAGAACGGGGATTGGTATCAGGGAAGACGGAAATTTACCAGCTGAATTTCACCAAAAGCTGGTGCATAATTGATAGATGGGGTGAAACCAAGAATATTATGATTCTGTACATGCAGCCAACAATCCACTTTTTAATTTGAATTTGCAAATTTTTGAGGTGTTCTTTTTAGCTATAATAGCCAACTATTCAAACAAGCTAGTGTTAGACCAGACTCTTGAAATCGCAGTTTCACAGCGTGCTAAATCAAGGCATTTAAGGAAGCCGACATTAATTCACTAAATAGAATTATGATTATTAATTTTACATTAGTAAAATGTTAAATTGAGTACACAATGTTTTTAATAATAAGTGAAACATTTGGAAATATTGTTTATTTCATTTTATCTCATCCTTTCTCATGTTTGTGCATGTTTTTAGTGTATTTTTAATTGGATTACATATATTTGGGGAAATTTGCTCAGATGCTTTTTACTGATGAGCTGGATGACCAAAAAAAGTTTAAAGACCACTCATCAAGCTGAAGAATTAGGAAAAAAAAAATTTAAAGAGCTAAAAAATACATAAAATGCCGAGGAGAAATCGGAAGCAGCAGAGAAGAAGGTGCAGTCGGCCAGGAGTTTCATCCAGAAGCTGTTTTTGTTCATTCATTCCCACAATGAACGTACAAAGTAAAGCCCTGCCCGGGCCCCCAACTGGAAAACACGGATAATAACAGTCCCTCTCTGGGGCTGGTCAGAGGATGAGCAAACAGACATAAATCATTAGTGCCCAGCACATGGCAATTGCTATATAAAGGCTGCAATTCTGATGAGGTTGAACTGTATGAACTTGCCACTGTTCAACTGTCTGACCTACAAATCAGTATTCATCATTCTCCCAATGGCAGAGATGAGGAAAATGAGGCATGGAGGCATTAGAGGAACGTGGCAGCTCGTATTTTCCAAAAATGCAGTGTTTCCTGGCATAGATGTCCTGCCCATACATCCTTCCAGAACTTGCTACTGGCCCACGAAGAGGCAAGGCCTGTGTCCGCTCCCCTTGACCCTGACTGGACTTGTGGGCCGTTTCAATTCAGAAGATGGAGTGGGTGATGCCCTGTGACTTCTGAGGTCAGGCTAGAAAACACAATTCAGCTTTTTCCTGGCTCTGTCTCTCAGGGGCTAATCCCTCTGGAGCCCCGAGCTGCCATGTAAAACATCCACTAGCCTGAAGTGAGCCAGGCTGGAGACCTAGTGGAGGTAGATGGGGCTCCACAGGACCTGGTTGTTCTAAAACCGCCTTTGCAAAAATTATAACTGAGGAAATGATGACAGTGAAAGAGGTCAGACCCCACCAACTGCATCTTGCTTCTAGTCCTTAAGCTGCTCTTGTTCATTCCTGGGTGTAGGCTGAGCTAACCTAGGGAAGGAATTTAGTTTATGGTTTGACTCTGAAACAAAATTGATAATAGCCCTTTCCTGAGAGGACCCCCTTCTTGCCTTGGGACCAGTCTGCCTTTGCAGGACTAACAAATTAGCTACAAGATTAGAAATTATGGTTTAGGGGGACATGCAGCCTCTGGCTGCAAGAGTCTGAACCTCCCCACATTGATCCTGGGGATAACATCACTATCGTAAAACCTAAGATCAGTGCATGAGGTATTCTGCAGACCCTGCACTTGATGGATCAGCTGACACTACCCGACCGGTCATCTGGATCAGCCAGTTCTGCCATCACACCCAGAAACAGAAGACAGCAAGAAAAACTCACTTTGACCCCCTATGATTCCATCTCCAGCCTGACCAATCAGCACTTTTCTCTTCATAAGCCCCTACTTGCCAAATTATCTTTAAAAACTCCGATCCCTGAATGCTCGGGGAGACAGATTTGAGCAATAATGAATCTCGGGTCTCCTGCACAGTCAGCTCTGTGTGTTACTCTTTCTCCATTGGAATTCCCCTGTCTTGATAAATCAGCTCTGTCTAGGCAGTGGGCAAGGTGAACCCACTGGGCAGTTAGAGTTCCAGTCCCAGGCACAGGTGAACAAGCCTCCGAGGTTCCCCAGCACCATTCAGTGCACACAAGAGCCGGCCAGCTGAGCCCTGCCAACACAGAACCAACACAGACAAGAATACACACCATTGCCATTGCTCTAAGCCACTAGGTGTTGGGCTGCTGGTTACCCAATCCTGGTAACTGAAACAAGTAGCTTTGCTGAGTCACTACAATGCTGGTCAATGCTGCAGCCTCTGCTGCCAGCCCAGGGGCAGCTTTTGTGCCTGGGGCCCTGCCTGGGAAGAGAAACACCAAAACTACATGGGTACCCTGCTTCCCAGTTCACAAGCCCTTGGTCCACGGAGAGCCTGTGAGGGGGCTTGAGGGAATGAGAAGGGATGTTACCTCTCACTGACTCAGCAAAGACCCTGAAGCACCTCCCAGGCACCGAGCCCTGGGAAGACAAGGATGTGTAATGCGGGGTCCCGTCCACACGGCTTACAGTCCCCAAGAACTGAAGGGAAATTGGATAGTGGCATCTGTGAGGCTGGTGACCTTGGTTTCCAAGGAGAGGAGGCTACCCAGCTCCCATCCCCGGACCCCTGCCCACTCCCAGCCATCTGGTCACCTTGGTCACCTGATCACCTTGCTGAGAGCACTGTTCCAGGAACATTACCACATTTTACTTACAAGCAAAAGAAACAGCAAAATAAGCCACACACCCCCAGATGCCCCTGCTCCTTTAAAGCACTTTAAAAGCAGAATTTTAATCAGTCCAAAGCTAGGACAGGTCCCCATAAGCCCTTGGATTATCAGCTCAGTGTTACAGCTGCACCCTGTAATGTCCTGTGACGCCCTTCCCAGGATGTGAGGCCCCCAGGACTCCTCGCAGAGCCAGTAACCCCCGGCGCCCTGGCACCCTGCCACGTTGCATCACTTTCCGTGACAAACGACACTCATCTTGGACAAAGCTGGGCATTAAAATGTTCAAGGGAGAAAAATCTGGGGAAGATTCTGACGAGGATGAAGTGACTGATCCTTCCTGAGAGTTTTTATCTCCGTGCGGGGAGGCTTCGGATTAAAGCCTTGGTCCTCGAGACGCAGGGCATTGTACTTCCTGCTGCCTGTCACTGGAAACCAAAGTATTTGGCTTAAGCTTATTTTTTCTCTTTAAGCTCCCAGCACATACTTTGCTTGAGAGTGATTTTACAAAGCAAAGACATTTATTTCCTGAGTGATGGGAAATCTGTCCCCCTCCGAGTGACCTGCTTCTGGGAGAAGTTACAGAAGGAAGGCCAGGCTGTTCAGATGAGGCTGCTGAGCCCTCAGGATGGCCCGGACACCACCTCGGGGTTGAAACTTGAGTCTGCTCGGTGGCCTACATAAGATAATTCTTACCTTGTGGGTATAATTGCACTGTTTTTGTTAAGAGTTATAGACATCCCTGGGTCAGTGATATCCCAAGTCCAGGAGTGGGACCTCAAAACTCCTTGTCCTTCTCCTCCCAGGCACGCACACTCTCCCAAGTCAGGGTTCAGGTTTGCCTGGGTGGACACTCCCCTACATGAGCACCTCCAGCTGCCTCGCTCAGCACCCACTGTCTCTGGGCCTCCGTTTCTCTCTCTACATGCAAGACAAGGACATCCACGTCCTGCCTTGGTCTCAAGGTGACTGTGAGAACCAAATGGCATTGCAGGCTGTGGAAGGTGCTTTAAGCAGACCTGAGCGCTGGCTGCTGGCTGTCCAGCGAGCAGCCGGGCTGAGCAGCAGAGGGAGCTGGCCCGGGGCAACCTTCCTGTCCAAAAGCTTCCTCCTCCACTTTCCCATCTCCAGCACACACCTCTGTGGCTCTGGTTAAACCACAGCGCCAGGTGTCCAGCAGGCTCTTGAAAAAACCTTGTGGAGAAGAGTGAAGAAAAGCGGGGAAGCAGAGAGGCAGAGCAGAGCAGGGGAACAGGGAGAAAGGAGGAGAGGCCCGGGCAGAGGGAGTGGCTGCCCCAGGGCCTGCAGAAGCACCGCCTCTGCCATCGCTGCAGGCTTCTGCTTGTGGGAGGGTGAGGAGTAAGAGTGGGGCAGACCCTGCGGCTCCTTCCCATGGGTCAGGGTCACCAAGGCTGGTTCTCACAGCATTCTCTGCACTGCTGTGAGGCCTCATTAAGTGCCCTCATCTCTCATCCATATGGGGTGCCCCAGATGAGCACAGAATCCACAGGAGGACAAAGCCACGTCCTGGCCCTGGGGCTGCAGCGGGGAGTGGAGTGCGTGCAGACCCTGCTGGGGAGCCCACCCTGGGCTGATGCCCTGTGCAGAGGATGTGTGTGCATGTCCGCCCCCTGGTCCGCTGAGCTGATGGAGCAATGATTCTAGGAACACCAATGGTGGTCCAGAGCTCCATGTCCCCAGCAGCCACCTTCCTGGAGGAACCCACCCCCCGTGACCCACCCTCACTAGCCATGTCTGCAGGCCCTGATGGGAAAGGGCAGAGACCCCCGGGCCACTAGACATCAGGAGGGAGTGACCTGCCCAAGACCACACAGCCAGGATGATGCCTCGTGGGACATGGGTCTGGTTACCTCTGCCCAAGGCATTTTGCACCCATGTAGATAACTTACAGAAACCAAAACTCATTCTAAATACCAAAACTTTAATAACGTCTTAACCATTTAAAAATGTGATGTAAATATAGTTTAAATATTCAGCTTCTTTGAAGCCTCGTGACACTCAGCATCCTTTAAGGTGACCTGGCATGCACAGAAAACTGTGGGTAGGCGTGGATCTCGGCCGGGAGCCCGGCGGGGAGGGGCTGGTGGGAAACCGGGATCCTGTGTGGGAAAGGTGACGAGGGGGCATTTTCAGCAGAGACTTGGCTCCTCTGGGTGGGTGAGGCAGACGCGGGCTCCTGGGCAGCCTGTGGTGCATACGGTCAGTATGCGCAGGGCAGCCAGCTTATCCAGGACGAGGCAGCTGTTGGCTGGGGCACAGCTGCCATGTGGTCCTCACCACCCTCCGCCTGGCCTGGGACAGACTCGGCAGTGCAAGTCCTGAGGGGCAGAAGGGACTGGGGAGGCCAGCGGGGACGGGGTCTGCCGACTGGGGCTGCTGGGAGGTGGGGGATGTGCAGACCGTGTCATGAGAAATGCCAGACACGTGTGTTCTGCAGTGGTGCCCGTTAGTATGAGTAACTTTGGAATACACGCATTGTCCTCATTTCGGGACAGTGCAGGAGTGGGGTGACTGGGGGAGAGGCTCTGTTATGTCATTGTCCTCATTTCGGGACAGTGCAGGAGTGGGGTGACTGGGGGAGGCTCTGTGGTGTTCCATGAAGCTCCATGGCTTTCGCAAATCCGTGGAAGGTCTGCAGCCGTAGAGGTGGTGGTGGCGCTGTCTTTGTCTGCATTTTTTTTTTTTTTTGAGACAGACTCTCGCTCTGTCCCCCAGGCCGGAGTGCAGTGGTGCGATCTCGGCTCACTGCAAGCTCCGCCTCCCGGGTTCACGCCATTCTCCTGCCTCAGCCTCCCGAGTAGCTGGGACGACAGGTGCCTGCAACCACGCCCAGCTAATTTTTTGTATTTTTAGTAGAGACGGGGTTTCACCGTGTTAGCCAGGATGGTCTTGATCTCCTGACCTCGTGATCCGCCCGCCTCGGCCTTCCAAAGTGCTGGGATTACAGGCGTGAGCCACCGCGGCCGGCCTGTCTGCACTCTTTATTCTTTAACTTTCGTTACAGTGTTACATACAGAGAAGTGCACAGAGCAGAAGGGGATGGCTAGCAAGTTACCACAACGCCTGGCAGAGAAGCAGAACTCTGGACATCAACGAGCCCTCCTGGCGCCCCGCCCTGCCCCCCCGGGGCTGCTCTGTTTTTCATCTGGGTGAGTTTCCCACGCGTCGTTTCCTCTGCTCCCCACGCAGTGGTTACCTGCGTCACCGTCACCGAGTGCAGCTGCAGCCTGCTCGTTCCCACGCCTGCTTACTGTGTCATCTCTATTTATTTATCTCCCCTCTGCTGGTGAGCCTGTGGCTGTTCCCCGTTTTCCCACGTCTGAGCACACACGTGTGCACCTGTCTATGGTATGGACCTAGGACATGAATTGCTGGATCGGCACTGGTGGACGTGCTTGGCTTTAACGACGGGGGGCCAGGCAGCCCTCCAAGGAGGCAGAGCCAGTTCACATTCCCGCCCGCCGTCTGCTGGGGTCCTTGTCACTCCACATGGTCATCGACAATGTCATAGTTTAGCCATTCTGCCGCGTGGTGGCATCTGACTGAGATTTAACCTGTGTTTCCTTGGTGGGTCCTGAGGCTTTTCATCCTCTGACTTTTTAACACCCATTTGAATGTCCTCTTTGGTGAAGTTGGATGTGTCTGTCCCCTTTCCCACTGTGCTGTTTCCCTTCTGGATTTGCAGGACTTCTGTAAGACCTCCACGGCTGCACGTACTGCAAACACCACCCTGCACTCCGTGGTGTGTCTGTTCACTTTCTTTTCTTTTCTTTTCTTTTCTTTTTTTTTAATATTTTTGAGATAAAGTCTCGCTTTGTTGCCCAGGCTGGCGTGCAGTGGCATGATCTGGGCTCACTGCAGCCTCCGCCTCCCGGGTTCAAGTGATTTTTGTGCCTCAGCCTCCCAAGTAGCTGGGATTATAGGCATCCACCAAGACACCCGGCTAATGTTTGTATTTTAGTAGAGACGGGGTTTCACCATGTTGGCCAGGCTGGTCTCGAACTCCTAACCTCAGGTGATCCACCTGCCTCGGCCTCCCAAAGTGCTGGGATTACAGGCGTGAGCCACCACGCCCGGCCCCTGTTTACTTTCTTAATGGCATCCACTAGACAACAAAAGGTCTGAATTCTAACTTTACCAGTTTATCAATCTTTGCCTTTATGTTTGGTGTCGTTTGTGTATCTCAAGGTCATAACTATATTTTCTTAGAAAATTTTGTTTTGTCATCTGGGCACGGTGGCTCACGCCTGTAATCCCAGCACTTTGGGAGGCTGAGGCAGGCAGATCACAAAGTCAGGAGATCGAGACCATCCTGGCTAACATGGTGAAAACCCGCCTCTACTAAAAATACAAAAAATTAGCCGGGCGTGGTGGCGGGCGCCTGTAGTCCCAGCTACTGAGGAGGCTGAGGCAGGAGAATGGCATGAACCCGGGAGGTGGAGCTTGCAGTGAGCCCAGATCACGCCACTGCACTCCAGCCTGGGTGACACAGCAAGACTCCGTCTCAAAAGAAAATTTTGTTTTGTCTTTCACTTTGGATGCTGGGATGAAACAGGGATTTTATCAGTCGGCTTTTGCTGGATAATGAACCACCCCTCAACTCAGAGGTTTCAAACAACACGTGTCTGGGTGGGTCTGGCTCTCAGCTGGTCTCTGCGGATGGGCATTTGGCCAGAAGACTCAATGCCTCACTCAACTGTCCTTTGCTTCACTTTCATTTTTTCCACATATTCCCTCGAGGTGAGGGTGAGGAAACGTTTCCTTTTAGTTTATCCTGCGTGGTGTGTGTGGGGCTTCTGGAATCTCGGGTTTGGTATCAGTTTTACATAATCATCAGTCGTTACCTCTTTAAATATGTCTTCTGCTCATACTCTCATTCCTTCCCTTCCAGGACTCAAATCCCACATGTGAAACCTCCTGCTGTGGCTGGTGCCCTTTCTCTCTGTCACAGTTTCTAGTCTTTGTCTCTTGCATACTTTACCCCACTAACCTAAAGCACTTGCCTGTTACATGCATAATGTACAGTACCAGTTACGCTGACTGACCCATAGATATCCTGGCCCAGCCCCAGGGAAACTGCAGGACTTCAAACTGAGTTGAAAGGGAAGCCCCAGGTGGGGGTGCTGGCCAGGCCTCTGCCCAGCGGGGTCTGCCCATCTCAGCAGGCATGGTGTGCACCTTGTGTGACGTGGCACCCTCCTACACTCGGCCTGCCAGGCTGATGTGGAGTGTTCCTGGGGTTCTTCCTTCCTCACGGGTGGAGAGTAAACATGTCCACACAGGAGGAGCTCTGGTCCTCTCACTCTGTAGATCCTAACAGACACGCAGGCCCCCCAGTTGGACCTGGTCTCACTCTAGATCCTAACAGACACGCAGGCCCCCCAGCTGGACCTGGTCTCACTCTAGATCCCAACGGACACGCAGGCCACCCAGCTAGATCTGGTCTCACTCTAGATCCCAACAGACACACGGGCCCCCCAGCTGGACCTGGTCTTACTCTAGATCCTAACGGACACGGGCCCCCCAGCTGGACCTGGTCTCACTCTAGATCCTAACAGACACACAGACCACCCAGCTGGACCGGTCTCACTCTAGATCCTAACAGACACTCAGGCCCCCAGCTGGACCTGGTCTCACTCTAGATCCCAACGGACACGCAGGCCACCCAGCTAGATCTGGTCTCACTCTAGATCCCAACAGACACACGGGCCCCCCAGCTGGACCTGGTCTTACTCTAGATCCTAACGGACACGGGCCCCCCAGCTGGACCTGGTCTCACTCTAGATCCTAACAGACACACAGACCACCCAGCTGGACCGGTCTCACTCTAGATCCTAACAGACACGCAGGCCCCCAGCTGGACCTGGTCTCACTCTAGATCCTAACGGACATGCAGGCCCTGCAGCTGGACCTGGTGTCTTCTTCTCCAACATCCCATAGAAAGTGGTCTTGGGCTGGTGCCGAGGGAATCTGTGCGAATGAGTGAGGAAGAAAGTGCCTTCTCTCTGCTCTTCCTTGGAGCCCTTCTGGGAGAGCCCAGGGGTCTGGGACAGAAGCACAGCACCACTCCCTAAAAACCAAGCCATGCACCCAAACCCCAAAGCTTCCTGGGATTCCGAAGACTTCTGACTTACATCTCATTTTTGCCCTAGGAGGTTTTAGGAGGCAGCCTCTGCCAGACTGAGGGTGAGTCACTTCCAGGTTTATTTAAAGTCCGATGCTCCTAGTGTGAAATGTCCCCAGCTAATAACTGTCTGAGAAGAACTCGAATGTCATCTTCCTACGCTCTGTAAGCCTCAGATTCCCCCACACCCCCAGTCACCTGAAACGGCAACCTCAGGGCATCAGACGGCCGCTCTACCTTCCTGCTCAGAAGGGCAATGCGTCGTCCTGGCGCCGAGGCTGCTCCTGACAGGGATGCACATCTTGGGCCCGCTGCCCAGGAGCTGCTCTCCCCAGTGCTGCACAGTGACGTACTTGCCATTCCAGCACGAGCTCGCTCACTAACACCAGCTGCTTCTCCCCAGCTCTACACAAGAGCCTGCGACTCTCAGGAGAACACTGTGGCGATCTCGTATCGTTTTTGGAGTGAAGAGGCAGTGAGGCCGGCAGATGGACAGAGGGACGAGGTGAGCAGTGGACCATCACGAGGAGCCAAAGCTGGATGGAGAAACTAAACCCAAAGAGAGCAGACGGAAGGGAAAAGCAAAACGTGGACATCAGTGAGAGAGAGCAGACGTGCAATGGAGAAAGCCAACAACACTGAAACCCAGTTCTCTGAAATGATCAATAAAATTGATAAAGAAAACACAGAGGGGAAAAATGAGCAATGGCGGCTGCTTTCTCAGGAGAGGGGGGTGCAGACACCCGGCGGGTCTGACGGGCACCAGAAGGTTAAGACGAGGCTCTCATGAGCAATTTCATGCCAGATGAAAGCGCAAATTCTTTGAAAAGCATAACCTATCAAAATTGACACACAGATATAAAAACTCTGACATAGCTACTGCCATACTATATCCATTACAGAAATTTAATCTGTAATTAAACAGATTCCACAGAGAAAACTCCTGGCCCTGAGAAGTCACCGATGAGCTGCAGCAAACCCTTAAGGATGAAGAATGCATGCAGTGTTGCCCGTGTTCCCACAGAAAGCACCGTGATCGGAAATCCTAAACCCGGTTCCAGCAAATCAGACTCAGTGACATATGAAAAGGTAGCCGGGCGCGGTGGCTCACACCTGTCGTCCCAACACTTTGGGAGTCCAAGGCAGGATTGCTTGAGCCCAGGAGTTCAAGACCAGCCTAGGCAACACAGCAAGATCCCATCTCTACAAAAATGTTTACAATTTAGCCAGGTGTGGTGGCACGTACCTGCAGTCCCAGCTACTCGGGAGGATGAGTGGGAAGATCGCTTGAACCTGGGAGTTCAAGGCTGCAGTAAGCCATGATCTTGCCATTGCACTCCAGCCTGAGTGACAGAGCAAGACTCTGTCTCGAAGACAAATAAATAAATTAAATTAAAATTAAAAGGCCAAGACCAAGAAAATCTATCTCAGAAATGCAAGATTGTTTTGACATTCAAAAATCAATCAACGTCATTGGTAAAATAAAGAACAAAAACCATAGGATCAACTCAATGGATTCAGAAAAAACATTTTATAAAATTCAATTGGTTAACAATAAAAACTGTCAACAAACTGGAAGCAGGAGGTTCCCCAGTCTGGTGAAGGATATCCATGGAAAACCCTCAGTTAACGTCAGAACTTCATAGTGAAGACCCCCCGGCACTCGGCCACCTGCCTGGAGAGAGGAAGCATTTTCACTCAGTGCTGCTGCAATAACTGGGTGTCAATAGGGAAAATAAGGGACGTTGGCCCTTCTTTTGTGCTACACATGAAAGCTAATTTGAAGCAGGTCATAGATCCAAAGGGGATGGGGCACAAGGAGGCACAAACACGATGACACTTCTGCAGGAAACCACAGGACATGCCTCTGGACCAGGCACTGGTGAGGACTTCTTGGGCAGGTCTGAAAAATCCCACCGATGTACAATTAAACACTGACAAATTGGACTTTATAAAAATTAAAAGCAATTTCATGCAAGATGGAATAGACACATTTGGCCAGGCGCGGTGTCTCACACCTGTAATCCCAGCACTTTGGGAGATCTGCCCGAAGCGGGAAGATCATGCGGTCAGGAGTTCAAGACCAGCCTGGCCAACATGGTGAAAACCCGTCTCTACTAAAAATTCAAAATTAGCGGAGCATGGTGGCGCATGCCTGTAATCCCAGCTACTCGGGAGGCTGAGGCAAGAGAATTGCTTGAACCCAGGAGGCAGAGGTTGCAGTGAGCTGAGATTGTGCCATTGCCCTCCAGCCTGGGTGACAGAGTGAGACTCTGTCAAAAAAAAAAAAAAAAGAAGAAGAAGAAGAAGAAAAAAAAAAGAAAGAAAGAGATAAATTCCTTGAAAAACACAACCTACCAAAACTGACACAGCAAATATAAAAACTCTGAATATCTATGACAATACTATATCTACTACAAATTCATCAAGAGACACCGTCAAGACAATGAAAGAGCAAGCCAGAATCTGGTGAAGATGTTTGTAATACATTTATATGGCAGAGGATTTCTGTACAGATAGATAAAGAATTACAAATAATTAAGAAAGCAACAACCGAAGGAAGGTATTGACAGTGCCTTGAGCAGGTGCTTCACAGGAGAGGGTATCCGGGCAGCCCTAAGCATTGATAGTGCCTTGAGCAGGTGCTTCACAGGAGAGGGTATCTGGGCAGCCCTAAGCATTGACAGTGCCTTGAGCAGGTGCTTCACAAGAGGGGGTATCCGGGCAGTCCTAAAGCATTGACAGTGCCTTGAGCAGGTGCTTCACAGGAGGGGGTATCCGGGCAGTCCTAAATCGCTGACAGTGCCTTGAGCAGGTGCTTCACAGGAGGGGGTATCCGGGCAGCCCTAAATCGCTGACAGTGCCTTGAGCAGGTGCTTCACAGGAGGGGGTATCCGGGCAGCCCTAAAGCATTGACAGTGCCTTGAGCAGGTGCTTCACAGGAGAGGGTATCCAGGCAGCCCTAAAGCATTGACAGTGCCTTGAGCAGGTGCTTCACAGGAGAGGGTATCTGGGCAGTCCTAAGCATTGACTGTGCCTTGAGCAGGTGCTTCACAGGAGGGGGTATCCGGGCAGTCCTAAAGCATTGACAGTGCCTTGAGCAGGTGCTTCACAGGAGGGGGTATCCAGGCAGCCCTAAAGCATTGACAGTGCCTTGAGCAGGTGCTTCACAGGAGGGGGTATCCGGGCAGCCCTAAAGCATTGACAGTGCCTTGAGCAGGTGCTTCACAGGAGGGGGTATCCGGGCAGCCCTAAAGCATTGACAGTGCCTTGAGCAGGTGCTTCACAGGAGGGGGTATCCGGGCAGCCCTAAACATTGACAGTGCCTTGAACAGGTGCTTCACAGGAGGGGGTATCTGGGCAGCCCTAAACATTGACATGCCTTGAGCAGGTGCTTCACAGGAGGGGGTATCCGGGCAGCCCTAAACATTGACAGTGCCTTGAGCAGGTGCTTCACAGGAGGGGGTATCCGGGCAGCCCTAAACATTGACAGTGCCTTGAGCAGGTGCTTCACAGGAGGGGGTATCCGGGCAGCCCTAAACATTGACAGTGCCTTGAGCAGGTGCTTCACAGGAGAGGGTATCCGGGCAGTTCTAAGCATTGAACACGTGCACAGAATCAGCATTCATCAGAGGAATGCAAATTAACACCACAGTGAGATACCACCACACCCCCACCAGGATGACGAACATTAAAAAGACTGACAATACCAAGCGTCAGCCGGCGAGGACGGGGAGCAGTAGGAAGTTCTGTATGTTGCTGTGGGAGTGTGAACGGTACAATCACTTTGAAAATCATTTTGACAATTTCTAATAAAGCTAAACGTATGTCCACCCTATGGCCCAGCAATGCTCCTTCTAGGTGTGTGCCCAAGAGATGGAGGCATCTGTCCACAACAAGTCTTGAGTCTTCACAGGATCCTGGTGCATTACACCCCGAACTGGAAACAGTGCCAGCATTTAGCAAGAGGAGAATGGATACGCAAATCAGGGTCCACGCAAATCAGGGTCCACGCACGGGGTGGGGTACAACCCGGGGGAAAGGGAAAGAGTACTGTGGTAGGCACAAACACTGTCCAAGTCTCAAAGCTCAGATGGAGTGGAACAGTCAGATTCTATAGCACAGGACACACCGAGGGACTCCAGTTTATTCGACGCTTGAGAAAGGAAAAACGAATCGCCAAGCTAGAAATCAGGCTGTGAGTGTCTGGTAGGGGTAGGGTGGGGAACCGTTGCCTGGGAAGGGGCAGGAGGGGACTTCCTGGGAGATGGAAATGCTCCATATTTTGCTCAGGGGGTCAGTCACATGAGCGCATATATGTGTGAGCTCTACTGTGCTGTAAAGTTACAATGGATGCATTTTACTGCCTGTAAACTGCACCTTAACATAAAATAAAG
This sequence comes from Homo sapiens, assembly GCF_000001405.40. NCBI lineage: Eukaryota > Metazoa > Chordata > Mammalia > Primates > Hominidae > Homo > Homo sapiens. The sequence goes on along the minus strand of NC_000021.9, from coordinate 45,608,226 downwards.
CAAGCACCCCTCAAAGTCCAAACTAACATGCACAAGTATATAAGCAACCTGCGGTGCGTGGGTCGGAGCGGAGCTGCCCGGGGCGCAGCGGAGCACGGCTCACGCAGGCACTGCGAGGCTGCAGCTGCCGCGGGAACGCCCGCCACCCACCCTGAAGTCAAGTAGGACACGGTGATTTCTCCTAATTTGAGAATAGCAGGGATAGCTGCGGCTCGGACTTTGATTTCTCCCTGAGGCATTAATAATGGAAAAGGCTCATCATGTTCGGTGTGGAGTATTTTTAAACGGTTGGCATTTCGTAAGTGAATTCTCTTTACTCTGACTTTTCCATTGTCTTCTGTTTTTTCCTCCAGCTTCAGTGAGGCATAATTGATACACAATTACATGTAGTTAAAGCTGCCCGTGTTTAAAGTGCACAGCGTGTTGAGTTTTGACACGACACCCGAACCCATCTCTGTGGCTCTCAGCGTTCCCTCCCACCTCTCGTGGTCCCTCCCTCCCCTCTCTCCTCCCCCTTCCTTCCCCTCCCCTCCCTCCTCCCCTCCCTCTGTCCTCCCTTTCTCATCCCTCCTCCCCTCCCTCCTCCCTTTCTCCTCCATTTTCCCCTCCCTCCTCCCTTTCACCTCCCTTCTCCCCTCCCTCCTCCCCTCCCTCCTGCCTCTGTCCTCTCCTCCCTCTGTCCTCTCCTTCCTCCCTCCTACCTGTCCTGCATCTACAGCAAGCGCAGGTCTGCTTCCTGCCACTGTTGGTGAGTTTGCTGTAGGATTCTGGATACACGGGATTATACTGTGTAGACTTTTTCATCTGACATCTTTCGTTTGGCAGAATTATCCTGAAGTCCACACGTCAGTACTTCCTCCCTTTTTGTTGCTGAGTGCTACAGTCATGCGTCACTTAACGACAGGGAGACTTTCTGAGAGATGCATCGGTAGGCGGTTTTGCTGTTGTGAGAACATCAGAGGTGACTCACACACACCAAGACGGTAGAATCTGTGAGACACCTAGGCCATGCTGTGCAGCGTATCACTCCTGGGCTGCAGACCTGTACAGTCTGTGACTGCACTGAATACTGCAGGCGACGAACACAGTGGCATTTGTGTATCTAAACGCCCGTGCAGCATGTGACTGCACTGAATACTGCAGGCCACTGTAACGTGGTGGCATTTGTGTATCTAAACACCCGTGCAGCGTGTGACTGCACTGAATACCGCAGGCGACTGTAACGCAGTGCCACTTGTGTATCTAAACGCCCGTGCAGCGTGTGACTGCACTGAATACTGCAGGTGCCTGTAACACGATGGCATTTGTGTATCTAAACGCCCGTGCAGCGTGTGACTGCACTGAATACTGCAGGCAACTGTAACGCGGTGGCATTTGTGTAAACGCCCGTGCAGCATGTGACTGCACTGAATACTGCAGGCGACTGTGACGCCATGGCATTTGTGTAGCTAAACGCCCGTGCAGAGTGTGACTGCACTGAATACTCCAGGCGACTGTAACGGGGTGGCATTTGTGTAGCTAAATGCCCGTGCAGAGCGTGACTGCACTGAATACTGCAGGCGACTGTGACGCCGTGGCATTTGTGTAGCTAAACGCCCGTGCAGAGTGTGACTGCACTGAATACTCCAGGCGACTGTAACGGGGTGGCATTTGTGTATCTAAACACCCGTGCAGCGTGTGACTGCACTGAATACTGCAGGCGACTGTAACGCGGTGGCATTTGTGTAGCCAGACGCCCGTGCAGCGTGTGACTGCACTGAATACCGCAGGCAACCGTAACGCGGTGGCATTTGTGTAGCGAAACGCCTGTGCAGCATGTGACTGCACTGAATACTGCAGGCGACTGTAACGCGGTGGCATTTGTGTATCTAAACGCCCGTGCAGAGTGTGACTGCACTGAATACTGCAGGCGACTGTAACGCGGTGGCATTTGTGTAGCTAAACGCCCATGCAGCGTGGGACTGCACTGAATACTGCAGGCCACTGTAATGCGGTGGCACTTGTGTATCTAAACGCCCGTGCAGAGTGTGACTGCACTGAATACCGCAGGCGACTGTAACGTGATGGCATTTGTGTATCTAAACGCCCGTGCAGCGTGTGACTGCACTGAATACTGCAGGCGAGTGTAACACAGTGGCATTTGTGTGTCTAAACATAGAAAAGGTACAGTAAAAATATGGAATAAAAGAAAAAAGTAGGGAGTAGTGACATCAGTGAAACAGCTGACTGGAAGCCCCCAGCACTGGTGTCCCTCACAAAGACCCAGAACAGTAAACAAGCCAGGAAATGGTTTTTTTTGTTTTTTTGAGATGGTGTTTCATTCTTATTGCCCAGACCAGAGTGCAATGGTGTAATCTCAGCTTACTGTAGTCTGTACCTCCCAGGTTCAAGTGATTCTCATGCCTCAGCCTCCCAAGTAGCTGGGATTACAGGCGCCTGCCACCATGCCTGGCTAGTTTTTTTGTTTTTTTTTTTTTGTTAGTAGGGACGGGGTTTCACCATGTTGGCCCGGCTGGTCTCAAACTCCTGACCTCAGGTGATCTGCCTGCCTCAGCCTCCAAAAGTGCTGGGATTACAGGCATGAGTCACCGCACCCGGCCATGAGCCATGAAATGTTAATGAAAGTCCCCACAGAGAGCTCCAGAACACATCAGAGGAGCGACAGCAACCCTGGCAAGCCCAGAAATTCATGACAGTCACAAAAAGAACAGAAGGAAATGCCGGGCCCCTGGCACCCCATCCCCTAACCAGGGTCAGCTAGAACCCAGGAAAACACCTCCCTTCAGTGAGGAGGTAATCAAGAGGACCCCAGCAGACCCCACCAACACCGTGGACACCCACCGCCCTCACCCTTGGGGTCCCTTGCAGTCCTCACAGGCACGAAGCCCAGGGTGGAGTGAGCTGCCTGGAGGCCACACCACTGTGCTCCCGCCGGAGAAGGAATCGACACTGTGCCTGCCCCCGTGGCCCTCGCGGTGCCCTCTTGGAACTGGAACTACTGCTGGAGTGTATCTTGTTCCTGGGGTAGCAGCCCCAGCTCCCCTTCACCCCTGAAGCTAAGCCGCTGCCCAACCACCCCAGCCCAGTGGCCCCACATCCCCCAGCCAAGCTGCAGGCAGCTGTTACACCTCCTCTGTGGGGCCAAGCAAAGGTGGGGCCACTCCACTACCCGCTCTTGCCCCCTCAGGCTGGAGCTAAAGCCATAAACGGCCTCCAGGGAAAACAATACCTTGGCTGCTCAGAGCAGTCATGCCTCCTGGAACCCAAGCTGAAGAAGCACTCTGCATCCAGGGAAATGCCTGGGCCACCCAGGACAGTCCCGTCCCTCAGGCCTGAGCGGAAGCGACACACCACCGCAAGGGGAATCAGTGCCCTGGCTGAGCTGACGCAGTGCCCTACATCCCAGAGAAACAGAGCAGTAGCTGAGCCCAGACATCCCACCTTACAGGCCGAACAACTCAACTGCCTGCTTCCCTAGAGCTGAACTAGCCCCCTAGAGTCTGAGGAATCCCCCTTGCTAGTCTTCCCATTATGGGGAAAATGAGACTAGAAGAACCCCAACAGCCTTTGAACTGAGGATGTTAACAGCCTACACTGTCCCCACCAGTGTCACGAACTTCTACAACCTAGGCTGCTGACGGGTCCACAGTTATTGCTAATGTTGAACATGGCTGAAGAAGCTGCAGAGACTATACCACTGCACTGATCCAGAAGCAGTCACCATACCCTTCCCAAATGGCACACTAAAATCCACTGCAGGTAAAAGCCTTTCTGTATGAAAGCCACTCTAGAAATTTTGAAAGAAGCAATTGTTCCACCAGATACATAGACATCAACACGGGGACACAAGAAACATAAAAAGACGAGGAAACATATCACCAAAGGAACAAAATAACTCTCTACTAACAGGCCCCAGTGAAGAGGAAATCAACTAACTGCCAGAAAAGGTATTCAAAACAATAATCTTAAGGAGACTCAGTGAGATACAGGTAGATAAGATAATTCAACAAAATCAGGAAAACAATTCATTATGTGAACTAGAAATTTAACAAAGAACTAGAAATAATAAAAAGAGCCAAATAGAAGTCCCATACCTGAAGATTTCAAGCAATCAAATAAAAATTACAATAGATAGCTTCAACAGCAGACTTGATCAAGCAGAAAAAAGAATTTCTGAACTTGAAAACTGGTTATTTGAAATTACCCCATCAGAGAGAAAAAGAAATGAGAATGAAAAAGAGTGAAGACAGCCTACAAGTATGTAACACTACTAAGTGAACAAATGTTCATGTTATGGGAATTTCAAAAGTAGAAGAGAAGGAGAAAGGCAAAGAAAACCTATTTAATGAAATAAGAGCTAAAAAATTCCCAAGTCTGGGGAGAGATATGAACACTGACATCTAAGAAGCTCAAAGTCCCCAAGTAGATTCAACCCCAAAATGTCCTCTTACAGGCACATTATAGTCAAACTTTCAAGTAAAAGACAAAGAATTCTAAAAATGGCAAGAGAAAATCATCAAGTCACATATAAGGGAATCCTCATTAGACTAACATAAGATTTCTCACAGAAACATTACAGGGCAGGAGAGAATGAGATAATATATTCAAAGTATTGAAAGAAAAAAAGTCAGCCAAGAATACTATACTACATATTCTTCAGAAATGAGAGAGAAAAAAAAAATATTTCCCAGACAAGCAAAAATTGAGGGAAATCATCACCATTAGACTGATCTTACAAGAAATGCTCAAGGGAATCCTACATCTGTGAGTGAAAAAATGACAATCACTATCATGAAAACACACAAAAGTATAAAACTCAGTGGTAAAGCAAATATCCAAAACAGAAAAAGAAAAGAATCAAACCTTATCACTACAGAAAACCACCCAACCTCAATGATAAATAATGAGAAGGAAGAAAGGAACAAAGAAACAAAGGATATACAAAACAATCAGAAAACAATTAACAAAATTATAAAATAAACCCTCACCTACCAATAATAATCCTGAAGGTAAATGGATGAAATTCCCCACTTAAAAGATACAGACTCGCTGAATGGATTTTTTTTTAATGACCTAACTATATACTGCCTGTTAGAAACTCACTTCACCTATAAATACACATACAGACTAAAAGGGAAGGGATGTAAAAAGATATTTCATCAACCCAAAGTGAGCGATAGTAGCTATATTTCTATCAGATAAAACAGACTTTAAGTCAAAAACTACAAAGAGATGAAGGTCATTATATAACGATAAAGGGACTGACTCAGCAAGAAGATATAACAATTGTAAATATATATGCACCCAACACCAAATCATCCAGATATATAAAGTGAATATTATTAGATCTAAAGAGAGAGACTCTAATATAGTAACAGTTGGGGTCTTCAACATCACACTGTCAGCCTTCAACATATCATCAGATAGAAAATTAACAAATAAGCATTGGATTTAAACTATGGTTTAGACCAAATGGACCTAACAGACATTTACAGACCATTCCATCCAACAGCTGTACAGAATATACATTCTTTTCCTCAGCACATGGAACATTCTCCAGGATAGACCATATGTTAGGCCACAAAACAAGTCTCAACAAATTTAAAATAATTGAAATATCAAGTTTCTTCCTCTCCTCTCCTTTCCACTCCTTTCCTTTTCTTTATTTTTAAGAGATGAGGTCCCACTCTGTTGCCCAGACTGGAGTGCAGTGGCATGATCACAGTTCACCAAGCCTCGAACTCGTGGACTCAAGTGATCCTCCCTCCTCAGCCTCCCAAGTAGCTGTGACCACAGGCATGTGTACCACATCTAGCCAATTAAAAAAAAAATTCTTGTAGAGGTACAGTTTTGCTTTGGTGCCGGGGCTGGTCTTGAGCTCCTGGGCTTCAAGCAATCCTCCTGCCTTGGCCTCCTAAAGTGCTGGGATCACAGGCATGAGCCACCATGCCCAGCCCCAGCTAGACTTTTAAATTTTAGCCCTGCTAGTGTGAGTGTCATGGCGTCTCATCTCTGGTGTGATTTGCATTTCCCTGATGAATAATAATGTTGAGATCCACGCTGACCTTTGATCTCATTTCCAACCTCTGGTGAGCTACTTTGAGAAAAACAGGTAAAATTTGAGATGAGAACAGCATAGGGAGGAGTGTCCATGAGGGGAAGAGTTGAACCTTGGAGTCGATTTGTCATCCTGTTCTTAGCCACCTCAGAGCCTCTGGAAATCCCAAGCTGGAGTGCCTGCTAGGGTCTCACAGGACATAAGGGTGCCCCCCAACCCCACCTGCCCCCTGCTGACCAACGGCTTCCTGACCAAGCCCAGTGGGTTAAAAGAGGATGGTGGATGAAGGCGACGTTTCTGAGAGGGCACTTTGATAACGTCTCTCTGGTCCAAGTGGCCGGCTGGGGAGGGGGTGTGGGAGGAGGTTCACTGTGTGGGTCCCATCAGTGGGGATGGTGTGGGTCATGTCACCCTTGCTGTGGGCCCTGGGGACCCTCCTCTAGGGCTGCTCAGACCCATCCCCTGCCAGGTCCCAGGTGGGGCTGATGAGGCCGTTCCACTGCCACACAACATCTGCATCAGAGACCAAAGTAACGGGGCTCGAGGCGGGACTGGCTGGCTCTGCCCAGTGCACCATATAACAGCACGGACAAAACTACACAAATCCCAGCTGGGTACAGTGGCTCACGCCTGTTTTCCCAGCATTGTTCGAGGCTGCGGTGGGAGGATCACTTGAGGTCAGGAGTTCGAGACCTGCCTGGCCAACATGGTGAAACCCCATCTCCACTAAAAATACAAAAATTAGCAGGGCATGGTGGCACGTGCCTGTGATCCCAGCTACTCGGGAGGCTGAAGCAAGAGAATCACTTGAACTGGGGAGGCAGAGGTTGCAGGCAGTGAGCAGAGATCACGCTACTGCATTCCAGCCTAGGCAACACAGCAAGACTCCATCTCAAAAAAAAACAAAAAACAAAACAAAACAAAAACAAAACCAAAAACCAACTATGCGAATCCCCATTAAACACAAGCAGCTGAGTCTGCTTTGCACTCCGTGTCAAGGTCAGGCTGCCTTTGGGGGCCCAAAGAGACATGGGCTCCATCCAGGGATTTGCTTCCAAGAGAGGCCAGGTCCATCAAAACGTTGAAGCCTGATCCACCATGGAGGCTTCTTGTCAATAATTTTCTTTCCTTTCTTTTAAATGCTGGTGGAAACATCTGTGTCTCTCCCACCACTTTGCCTGATGTGGACAGTTTCCAGGTACTTGAGGCTGCTGACGCAGTCACTCCCTGCCCTGGAAAGAGATACTGCTGAAGGATGTTAGGTCCTTTCCTTAAGATGTGCACATATTTAATTGTGGAAAAGCATGCAGTGATTGCCTGTTTGTGAGGTCTTTATGGAGGACTCTGGTCTTGGCAATTCTGGGGTCTGAGGAGGGACAAGTTGGGCTCAGCCACTTCCTCTCAGCCAGCATCTGCTGCCCAGCCATGCTTGAGGTATCTGCCGTGTCTGCCACAAGCTCAGAGAGGAGAATCAGAGAGCCATAGTGGAGAATGCAGGGATCTTGAGCAAACCCATGTCCTCTTCAGCTAACAACTCTCCTCTCCTCCCTTCACGGAAACAGCTCTCAGATTGGTCCTGAATCTGAGGTTGACCAAGGAGCTGTTTGGGGGACACCAGGTGTCTTGGACGATTTGTGTTGGGAGGTTGGGTGATTTATAAAGAAAAGAGGTTTATTTGGCACACAGTTCTGCAGGCTGTACAAGAAGCATGGTGCCAGCATCTGCTTCTGGTGAGGCCTCAGGAAGTGTCCACTCATGGCAGAAGGCGATGGGAGCAGGTGCATGCAGACCATATGGTGAGAGAGGGAGCAAGAGAGAGTGGGCAGAGGAGGTGCCAAGCGTTTTTAACAATCAGTTCTTGTGAGAAGGAATAAAGCATGAATGCATTCATGACCGCGAGGACAGCACCAAGCTCTCATGTCCTAGGCACCTTCTGTCAGGTCCCACCTCCAACATTGGGGTTCAAATTTCAACATGAGGTTGGGGAGACAAATGTCTGAATTATAGCACCAGGCAGGTGCCATCACAACGAGGGTTACAGGCTGGTACTCCCAGCAGCCTCCAATGTCAGGAGGAGGCAGTGCCAGGAGACGAGGCTTGAGAGGGTCTCCAGGTGCACGTGCAGGTGCTCTGCCATCTCCATGTGACCTGCAGACGGAGGAAGAGAGGGTCCCGCCTTGGGCAGGTGGCTCAGCTGAACATGCCACTCAGCGTGTGTAATTGGGATTTGCATAGGTTTTTTTTTTTGAAACGAAGTCTCTCTCTATTGCTAAGGCTGGAGTGCTGTGGTCCAATCTTGGCTTATTACTGCAACCTCTGCCTCTCGCCTCCCAGGTTCAAGTGATTCTCCTGCCTCAGCCTCCCAAGTAGCTGGGATTACAGGATGGATCCTGGTGCATCACAGGTGGCCCTGGAGAAAGTGGAGGCAAGGTCCTCCTGGAGGGAGGCGTGTGAGTGTCAGCGTGGTCTCATCCAGGCAGGGGCGGCCTACAGATGGGATGGGGAGCAAAATCATGACTCCAGCCCCACGGGAGTCTGAGGAAGGAACACATAGGTGACTGGGAGGGGCCAAGCTGCATCCACCTTGCATGATTGTCAGCCTCCTCCCCAGGCTGTCCCAGGAATTGTTCCAGGGGCCATGGCAGCCCAGAGGGAACAAGGCATAGCGTGGGCAACATGCCCCTCTGTCCGCCAGGAGCAGCCAGGGCCATGGGGGCCTGGGACAGTGGGTCGCACTGGCTTCTCCGTCCTGGAGGGACTGGAGTCACCCTTGCTCTGGACACGGACTCGCATTCCCTGCCTAACTGCCCTGCTGTGGGCTTCTGGCAGCTTCTTTCATGACAGCGTCACCCAGGCTCGGAGGGAGGATCCAGAATCAGGTGGGCTTGCCGGCTTCCCGGAGGCCCAGCGTGCAGCCAGCTGGGGAAAGCACAGGGTGCTGGGTGGTGAAACTTGACGCAAATGACCTGCTCAGGGCCAGAGCCATCCTAGCCAGGGAGCCCGGCCTCGCTGCTTTCAGAAGTTTTAGCCAAGGGAGTGAGGACTCTACCAGGAGACGCGTTAGGTCCCCACAGTTGAAAGCTGAGGGTGACCGTGAGCATTCTGGGAAGTGCGTGCCACTGGGGGAAGGTCCCTGCAGACGTTACTGTGGTTCCCGGGTGACCAACCCTCACTATCAAGATGCTGCCCTCTTGCCTACATTCTGGGGGGAGCCCCCTAACCAGATCCCTCAGTGGGGATGGTGTGGGTCACCTCCCTCTTCAATAAACCCTTATCTGCAAAGCCTTGAGAGGGTGCAGACGCTGCCCCTTGTGAGGGCCCAGCTGCAGGAGCATAGCCAGAATACTGTTCCCGCCCCAGGACCCATGTGCAGCACGCCGACCTGATCCCGCCCTCCCCCCTCGCCGCAGCCATAGTTAGGGTGCTCTGAGCCAGTGAACTTTAGGGTACATCCCAGGATGCCAGATGCTGAGAAGGGAGATTGCTGGGACTGGCAGAGAAATGGGCATCATCTGGAGTCCTGGACTGGATTGGGGGGACCTTTCTGGCCCCCCAGTAAAAGAAGGGCTGACCTGGTCTGGTAGGAGTATCTGGGAAGAAGTGAACAGTGCTGGGCAGTCAGGGGATGGCTGTTGTCACTTTGGTCAGACTCTCTTCCCATGCTAGAAGAATTCTCATGGTCTGTAGGCGGGAGCCCAGGCAAGCCTAGCAGGAGACAGGCAGGCAGGGCTCCCCTGCACCTTGGGGCCAGTGCAAGCCCCTTCCACGCCGCTGCAGGCTGCTCTGGGTGTGCTCTGGGTGATGCCTGTCGGGATGAAGGGGTTCCCTGAAGCCCTGGTTCCACCCTGAAAGCCCACGCAGCTCCTTGCCATGAGCACAGGGGTATCAAAATACTGCTTCTGATTGCGTGTCCATGAGCAAGACCAGCACTCCAGGCCATGAACCAAGCTTGTCCTGTGGGTCTGTGTGCTTGCTGGCAAACTGCCAGAAACGGCTCCAGAGTAAGAAACAAAATGCCATGGGTTCATTTTCCCCAATTGGGATTTTGTTTTCTTCATATAGAACCACGGATTATAGAAGTGACACTGATAGCAAACCAATCTTTGATGTCTACTTGGAAGATGCAAAAAGACAGCAGGTGGGCAAGGCGCAGTGGCTCACACCTGTAATCCCAGCACTTTGGGAGGCTGAGGCGGGTGGATCACCTAAGGTCGGGAGCTCGAGACCAGCCTGAACAACATGGAGAAACCCTGTCTCTACTAAAAATACAAAATTAGCTGGGCATGGTGGCGCATGCCTGTAATCCCAGCTACTTGGGAGACTGAGACAGGAGAATCACTTGAACTTGGGAGGCGGAGGTTGCAGTGAGCCGAGATCGTGCCATTGCACTCCAGCCTGGGCCACAAGAGCGAAACCCCATCTCAAAAATAAATCAATAGGCCAGGCGCAGTGGCTCATGTCTGTAATCCCAGCACTTTGGAAGGCCGAGGCGGGCGGATCACGAGGTCAGGAGATGGAGACCATCCTGGCTAACATGGTGAAACCCCGTCTCTACTAAAAATACAAAAAATTAGCTGGGTGTGGTGGCAGGCGCCTGTTGTCCCAGCTACTCGGGAGGCTGAGGCAGGAGAATGGTGCGAACCCGGGAGGCGGAGCTTGCAGTGAGCCGAGATCACGCCACTGCACTCCAGCCTGGGTGACGAAGCAACTCTGTCTCAATAAATAAATAAATAAATAAATAAATAAAAAGACAGCAGGTGATATGGTTTGGACCTGTGTCCTCTCTGCACAAATCTCACCGTGAAGTGTAATCCCCAACGTTGGAAGTGGGACCTGGTGGGAAGGGATTGGATCATGGTGGTGGTCCTTCACAAGTGGGTTAGCGCCAGCTTCTTGGTGCTGTTCTCATGATAGTGAGTTATCGTTAGATCTGGTTGTTTCAAAGTGTGCGGCACCCCCTCTTTTTCTCTCTCTACTGCTCCCATGTGAGACGCCTTGTCCCGCCTTCACCTTCCACCATGACTATAAGTTTCCTGAGGCCTCCCTAGAAGTGGAAGCTGCTATGCTTCCTGTAAAGCCTGCAGAACCGTGAGCCAATTAAACCTCTTTTCTTCATGAAGTGCCCAGTCTTAGGTATGTCTTTATAGCAGTGTGAGAATGGATGAATGCACGAGGTCTTCAGGACAAGCCCGATTTCATTGGTTACGAGATGCATGTTTTTCATTCTAGCCCCCAGAGACCTGGATACGTTGCACAGATGCTGACAGCAGGTGGCAGTGTGGAGCAGCGGTGTGACACCTGCAGGGCCCTCCGGGGACACCACATAAGGGCAGCCACAGTGTCCCGGAGCCCATGCAGTGTGACAGCCCCAGGTAACTCTCCAGCCAGCACTCCACCCGTGGAATTACAGCCGACTGAAGCACCTCTGCTACATTCGTCAGCTTGATAAATGTCCAAGGAATGAACCAAGCACAGGGACCATCTCTTCCGGTAGCTTCTCACCATCACACACACTTTGCAGGGCCGAGGGCTCTTCCTGGCCCATATCTAGCACCTAGATATTTTATTCACTTATGTTTTGAATATTTCATGGGTCCTTCTCCCCCAGAGGCCTCAGAGCACTCCCAGAATTGGAATGGAAATACACAGTGTGTCCTTGTCAGCTGTCCGGGCCGCCGCGTTCAAAGGGCAGGACATAGTAGCTTCTGCTCAAATTAGAATGATCTGTCTCGTCAAGCGGAAGATGGTTGTTGAGACTTTGTGTCTTTAAAGTATTGCCTAAAAAAGCAAGATTAAATGAACGCATGAATGCTTGTGCAATACGGCAGGAAAATCCCGGGGGTCTGCCTGGACTGCTCGCCCCAACCCTCTCTACGCGTGGGTTCTGCTGCAACATCGAGGAGAGAGCAGGGGGTGCTCATCTCCAGGCCATCGGCAAAGATGTCAGACTGTACTTGTCCCACAGGCCTGGCCGGCAACAGCAGGGTCTCCCCCAAGTGGGGCTTGCCAGCCGCACTGCTGCATGTGGCTTTGGGAGGGCCTGCGGGAGCCTGCTGGTCCCCATGGGCCTGGCAAGCATCTGCCCTGGTAGACTGAAGTGCCCCCAGGCCCTGTGGTTAGTGGAAGCCTGCTGGCCCCTGGAAGATCTGGGAGAGGAGAGCTGGACAGCTCACCCACCACGGCCAGCATGAAAGGCAGCTAGTAAGCCCCCCTGCGCTGTCAGCCTCTGCTCAGAAGTCTCTGGAGTGGTGTCCAGGTGCTGAGGGGGTGCACTGATGCTGCACTGATGCTCAGCCAGGAGCAACTGGAGCAGAAAGCAGCAGTCATGGGAAGATGCCTCAGATCACACACATGCACATGTGCACACACATGCACAGATACATGCAGACAGACGGACACATGCACAGATGCACATGTGCAGACGCACATGTAGATGTGAGCACACACATGCAAAGACACACACACCAGGCACATGCACACATGCACACAGGAGCGACTGAAACTTACAATAAAGCACGAACAAGTCTACGGTTCCATAGGCGTAGCTCTGTTCCAGCAGACGCTGACCAACTCTCCCATTAAAAACACAACACAAGCTAGAAAAAACTATCTTAAAATGTCTGTTCGAAATCAATGAAGAACTCCTAAAGCAGTGACAATTTTGGGGGCCAAGGTCTGAAAGACGGGGAAAGTAAGGATGATGGGCTGATGCTTGGGGCGGCGTGGATCCGGGCTGACCAATAACTGGGGAAGCAAAAGCTGAGCTGAGCCATGGGAGCCGGACTCAGCTCTCAGCACTCATGGGGCCAAAGGAAACAAAGGGGCCCCGAGAAGCCCCTCAGCTGTTGGTGGGAACCCTGAAGGGGAATCAGCCTGACCCCACCCTCCCAGAGTCTGCAGTTGGGTCACAAGGGCCTCCCTCCCTGGGTGACCACAGGAGCGAGCGCCACTCGGCTCCCTGGAGACGGCACCACTGGTGGCCTGAGACCTGTCCTATGAACATCTGTCACTCAACCAAAAATGCCAAGGGTACAAGATGAAAATCAACCAAAAAAGGTGAAGGAGAAGAAGCAATGCAGAGAAGCTGCAGAGGAGTGGAGGGAGGTGGCCCCAGGCAGGCAGGGGAGTGGGAGGGAGGTGACCCCAGGCAGGCAGGGGAGTGGGAGGGAGGTGACCCCAGGCAGGCAAGGGAGTGGAGGAAGGTGACCCTGGATGAGCAGTGGAGTGGAGGGAGGTGGCCCCAGGCAGGCAGGGGAGTGGGAGGGAGGTGACCCCGGACGGGCCGGGGAGTGACCACCCAGAGACCGGCACCCATGATGAGGGGCTCTTAGGGTGGAAAGGAAATGACCCCCCAGGGTGGGGTGGGAGCTTGGGGATAAAGGAAGGAACGCAGACCCGGGAAAGGGAAGTGAATAAAGAGACGCATACATGGTAGAAAATAATGATAATGTGTCCGGCACGGGGGCTCACACCTGCAATTTCAGCACTTTAGGAGGCAGAGGCAGGAGGATCACTTGAGCCCAGGAGTTTGAGACCAGCCTGGGCAACACAGCAAGACGCTGTCTCTACCAAAAATTTTAAAAAATTAGACTGCATGGTTGTGTATGCCTGTAGTACTGGCTACTGGGGAGGCTGAGGTGGGAGGATTGGTAGAGCCTGGGAGTTGGAGACTGCAGTGACCTGTGACGGTGCCACTGCACTCCAGCCTGGGTGACAGAGCAAGACCCGAAAAAATGAAAAAGAAAATAATAACAATAGTGATTTCCAGAGTTTGACATGCAAGTAGAGTTAAAATACATAAGAACAACAGAACAAAGGGTGGGATGGAATAAAGGGGTGATGTAAATCTTTGGTGGTCTGGTAAGAGATAGCAGGAAGAATTTACACTGGACTTTAACATGGATAACTACTGAATGAACAGTAATTCATAACTGGCAGGCTAAGAGAGGATAAACATGGAATAAAAAATAATCGAAGCCACGAGGAGAAGAAGGAACAGGGAACAAGTAGGAAAAACAGAAAACAATTCATAATGCCAGAATTCAAACGCAGATAATGGAATCAAAACAAAAGAACCAGAAAGTTCAATTCAAAGATAAAGATACACTGGATCCTGCAGGAGACACACCCTCAATGTAAGGCCACAGAAAGATAAATGGAAAGGGAGGTCTGGAAAGCTGGGGTGGCTGCATTAACACCAAGCAGAGGAACCACGGGCAAGGAGCTCAGCAGACCAGGGTCAGCTGGTGGCATGGGGCCCAGCCCACGGGAAGATGCCAGCCTCAAACTACAGAAAACAAAGTTGCAGAGTCCAAGAAAGAAGAAGAGAAATCCACAATCATATAGAAAAATTTAAAACATCTCCTGGTCACCAATAAAGCATGTGTATTAGTCCCTTTTCATGCCGCTGACAAAGACATACCCGAGATTGGGAAGAAAAAAAGGTTTAATTGGACTTACAGTTCCACATGGCTGGGGAGGCCTCAGAATCATGGCGGCAGCAAGAGAAAATGAGGAAGAAGCAAAAGCAGAAACCCCTGATAGGCCCATCAGATCTCGTGAGATTTATTCACTCTGGCGAGAATAGCACAGGAAAGACCGGTCCCCGTGATTCAATTACCTCCCCCTGGGTCCCTCCCACAACACGTGGGAATTCTGGGAGATACAATTCAAGTTGGGATTTAGGTGGGGACACAGCCAAACCATATCAGCATGCAAGGAAAATACTAGCAAGAGTACGCAGTATTTGAATCAATCACCTCACTGATGTTTAAATCACTGCACGTGACAGGCGCATCCCAGGGCAGAGCAGCCGCCAGTGCTGAAATGACGGGGCCATGGGGTGATGGGACCGTGGGGCGACGGGGCTGTGGGGCGACGAGGCCGTGGGGCGACGGGGCCGTGGGGTGATGGGGCCGTGGAGTGATGGCGCCATGGGGCTTCTTGGGGGTACACCCTATGTAACTGGAGAGGATGAAGTGAAGTTACAAAGTCATTTACTTGGCCCATGCCCTATGGAGAGGATATTTCCTGTGGTAGCTGAAGTGTGAACTGCCTTATGCTCCCTGCCTCCAGACCCAATTTTCCTGCCTCAACAGGCGCAGGTTTCCCTGTCAGCCCGCTCTGCACTCCTGCACTCCTATCTGATCACCGGGTGTTATCTTTAAATCACTGTCAGATTTGTGTAGTGATTTCTGTAAGTTTAGATTTTTGCACCCTTGTTCCCAAGCAAAATTGGCTGATGATTTTCTTGTGCTGTTGACGGGGCCCCCGTTTGACCTCATCCAGACCCTATGGACGGGTGGCCATAGGCGGGCCACGGTTGACTGACGGAAATGTGGACGCATTGTTTTCCTCTATTTCAAGCACTGTCATCGTGAACATCCTTGTGCATGTGTGTGTTGTATGTCCACCTGGTGTATTGTGTGTGTGTTACCGAGAATTCTGTGTTCGGATGGATTTTTTAACCGACAAGATCCACAGAGCCAGAGCTCTGAACCAGCAATCTGGGTTCTTGTGACAGTGAGCAAAGAACTGCAAACACCAAAATGTAAGCTTAAAACAAGGTTGATTGAAATTTCCAGTAATACTGTCTCAGAGGGTGTGCAGGCTGATTTCTGAGAAGTGACATCAGCACCTGGTTACAGAGCTCAAGGTGCTTCTGTGGGGTGTGAGAAGTAGCTGAGGTTTGGGCTGAGTGACAGGCTGATGTCATTTGGCAGCTTATGGTGACACAGCTAAAATTAAACTGTGCATATTTTTACCCATAATTCATTAAGAAAAGCCCAGTGTGGGGGGGCCACATGTAAATGTTATTACAGTTTTAGGTCACTGGGCACATGCTGCTCTAGGGATTTCTACCTGTGCCCTGGTTTCCCCTTCCACAGGACATGCTGGCCACAGGTTTCACTTCAAACTCCGTCCCTCATGGTGGAGTTAGGGCGGGCTCGGGGCTGAACTTAGGTGGGCCAGGGGCTTAATGACAGCTTCTCTGTTCTCCTTTTTACCCTCTCCCAGCTGCTGATGTGTGTCTAACTACCTAACACGTCTATGTGGTGTGTTTTTTTGTGTGTGGGTGGTGTGCATGGTATGTGTGTCTATGTGGAGTGTTTTGTGTGTGTGGTTTGTGTGTGATTTGTGTGTCGACATGGAGTGTTTTGTGTGTGTGTGGTGTGCGTGGTGTGTGTGCCTATGTGGCATGTTGTGTGTGTGTGGTTTGTGCGTGAGTTGTGTGTCGATGTGGAGTGTTTTGTGTGTGTGGTGTGCGTGTTGTGTGTGTCTATGTGGCCTGTTGTGTGTGTGGCTGGTGCGTGATTTGTGCATATGGTGTGTTGTGTGTATGTATGTGTGCGTGGTTTGTGTGTCTATGTGGAGTGTGGGTGTGGTATGCATGGTGTGTATGTGGTGTGTTGTGGGTATGTATGCGTGTGTGTGGTTTGTGCATAGTGTGCATGGTTTGTGTGTCTATGAGGTGTGTGTGTGTGGTTTGTGTGTGGTGTATCTATGTGGCATCTTGTATGTGTGTGGTGTGTGTCTCTATGTGATGTGTTTTGTGTGTGTGGTGTGATGGTGTGTCTATGTGGCGTGGTGTATCTGTGTATCTGTGTGTATGTCTGTGGAGTGTTGCATGTGTGTGTGGTTTGTGCATGGTGTGTGTCTATGTGTAGTATGTATCTCTGTGTGTGTGTCCATATGGAGTGTTGTGTGTACCTGTGTATGTGTGTGTGTGCCTATGCGGAGTGGTATGTATCTGTGTGTGTGTCTTATGTGGAGTGGTGTGTATCTATGTGTGTGTCTATGTGGAGTGTTGTGTGTGTCTATGTGGAGTGTGTGTGGGTGTCCATATGGAGTGTTATGTGTATCTGTGTGTGTGTGTGTGTCCATATGGAGTGTTGTGTGTATCTCTGTGTGTGTGCCCACGCATGCAAGGGTTTCTCGGGCAGGGCCTGGGAGGCGCGTCCCAGGCTTGGTGCGCATCTGCCCCGGGGTCCCCACGCGGCCGGGCCCTATAACGACCTGGAAATGCTCCAGCGCCTCTTGCGCGGGCGGGACACCGGAATTTCCTAAATTTCAAGCCGGGCGCCGTCCCCTGCGCGAAACCCCCGCTCCCTGGGAGTGGAAGCCGCCGCCTCGCCCGCCGTGGGTGCCCAGGGGCTCCCTGCCGCCCCCGCCCCCGCCCCCGCCTCCGCCTCTCCCGCAGGCGCGCGCTTACCCAGCACCCAGCGCTCCCTGCACCCGGGCGGTGCTCAGGATGAAGCCTGACCGCCCCAGACCCTCTCGGGTCCTACCCCGCGACAGTGTCCCGTGCCAGGGCGACCTCCCCGGGGTCCCCCACAGAGCCATGGGAGAGGACCCCCGGGTTCGCCCTGGAGCAGGAGCCTGGGAGAGGGGCGGGCTCGAGGTGGAGGTGGGGGGCGGGGCGGGGTGTCTCAGGCTCTGCCCCGCCCCTCCTGCCTCAGCCCCGCCCCTCCTGCCTCAGCCCCGCCCCTCCTGCCTCAGCCCCGCCCCAGCCCCGCCCCTTCATGTCTCCGCCCCCATGCCTCCGCCCCGCCTCCTGTCTCCGCCCCGCCCCCCGTCCTGGGCCCTTTGCAGTCCTAGGTCGTCTGGGAGCTGCCGCTGACGCCGCCGACCAGAGCCTTCCCCTCGGCCCCAGCACCCTTCGAACTCCCGGGGCGGGCACGGAGCTCTGGACAGCCGCGTCCCCGCCCTCCCCGCCGGCTCCAGAGTGAGGCCTTCTGCGGGCAGCGGGCACTGGGCTTGGTCCAGAACCTCAGAGGCGGCCGGGGCCGAGATGGAGGGAAACCTGGGAGCGGGCGGCCGCGCGCTCTGCTGGGTCTGGGCTCGGCCGCGCGCCCTCCGGCCTCCTTCCCCCACTCGGAAGTCGCCCCCGGACCCGGAGCGGCCTCTGTGGTTCCGACTGGTCCAGGACGGTGAGACTCCTTCTCTCTCCCCAGCTTTCCTACCAGTGCGGGAAACGGAAGGAGGACTTTTTCTGGAAAATCAGTGTCTGCGCTTCCCACCGGGCGGGTTGGACCTGAAGACACGTCCGTCCCGCGGAGAATACGCGACACCGTGACCGACACGCGGCAGTCCTGCCTTAGAAGCGCGGCCGGGCCGGCGCGGGACCCGCAGCCTGGGGACCTTCCTCGCGCCCCAGAGGGGTCTGGGTGGAACGGGAAAATTAAAAATTAAAAAAAAAAAAAAAAACGGAAAGGCAAGAAAGGAAGAAGTCCGCTGGAGAACTCCGTGCGAAGGCCCCACTCCTACACGTCCCCGGCCTCAAGGGGAGACGAGGAAGAGAGCGGCCCAACCTGGGCCTGGGAGTATCGTGACCCATGTGTTTAAAGAACTAAAACGTGGCGTTAAAAATAAGTGGACGGGACACCATCAGAACTGTTTTTTTTGTTTGTTTTGTTTTTAGATGGAGTCTCACTCTGTCGCCAGGCTGGAGTGCAATGGCGCGATCTGGGCTCACTGCAACCTCCACCTCCTGGGTTCAAGTGATTCTCCTGCCTCAGCCTCCTGCACCCTCCTGTGTAGCTGGGATTACAGGCACGTGCCACCACGGCTGCCTAATTTTTGTATTTTTAGCAGAGATGGGGTTTCACCATGTTGGCCAGGCTGGTCTCGAACTGCTGACCTCAGTTGATCCACCCGCCACAGCCTCCCAAAGTTGGAATTAAAGGTGTGAGCCACCGCACCCTGCCACACTGTCAGAATTGAGGAGGCAGATATGAGAAACATCTTAGGAATAAAAAAGAATAAATGAATTTGAAAACAATGAATAGGCTAAGCAGCAAATTAGATGCAAATACATATAAAATTAGCGAACTGGAAGATATATTTGAAGAAGTCACCCAGAGTGCAACACAGACAAAGGGTGAAAAATAAGTTCTCTTTAGTGGTTAGCATTGTGATGGAGTAAAAAGGCCCCACGTGGCCTAACTGGGGCTCTAGGAGGAAAAAAAGTGGATTAAATGGGCCAAGGTAATAGGGAAGAGATGTGAATGGAAAGGCACCATTTCTCAGACTCTGAAGCTTCAGAGAATCTAAGCAGAGTGTGTTTGAAGAAAACCACATCTGGACACACCTGTTGTAACTGGAGATTCTCAAAGACAAAGATTATAAAAGCAACTGGAGAGAAGAATGAGTAACTGTTGAACGGCACTGAAACCAACACCTAAACAGCAATAGGGGAAGCCGTGAGAAGCAGAGGTCTCAAATACCTGGGAGGAAACAGCTTTCAACAAGAACTGTTCATCCCATGATATACCTTTCAAGAATGAGAGTAAAACAAAAGCATTTGTAGTTAAACAAAAACTAAGACTTCCACTTTGAGCCACGACAGAATAACTGGTCCAGATTTACTCTCTCACCTTAAACAACTAGAAAGAAGGACAAAATATATGCAAAAATGTCTTTTGAGACATGGGACAGCGGTCAGAATTGGGCAGCAGTTACTGAGAGAGGAGAAACTAATGAGGAGAGACCTTCCAGCCCCTGGCTACTGTCTGGAGAGGAGCTCCAGGCCAGAGCCTGAGAGGGGGTACCCAGATAAGGCGGGGTCTTGCTGCGGCAGAGACTGAGTTATAAGTTGGGGGAAGCCAAGGCAACCAGAATTTTCAGGGCTGAGTACAAGAGAAGAGGGAGCTACAGAGAGAGAAAGAGATGGGGAAGGAGAGAAAGAGATGGGGGAGGAGAGAAAGAGATGGGGTGAGAGAAGGCGAGAGGGAGACCCACCCAGAGAACTGTGGCTGAGCACTGATCTACGCATGCCTATGAAGAAATTACCTGAGGGGAAAAGAACCACTAGAAAGGAGGAGGCAGAACATCCGGAGGAGCTCGAACAGGGCTGGGATTGTTCGTGTTCCCACAAGCCAGAGTGGAAAGACCTCCTAATTCAAAGGGCATCGTGGAGGCTGCAGCAGGGTAGTGTGTCAGCAATGGGGCCAGATTAGCCCCAGGCTGAAGGACCCACACTAACGAGGCTTCTAAGCAATCCTCAAAAGGATTCCAACACAACCCAAGAATATTCAAAGTAATACCAAAAATTCAGCACCCACCCATGTACCTTTCACAATGTCTATACCATTCAATCAAAAACTATCACACATAGAAGCAGGAAAATATGATTCATACCCAGGGTCAAAATCCATCAATAGAAACAGACCCAGAGAAGACAGATACAATGGGATTTGTATACAAGAACAGTGAGGCAGTGCTAACTAGATTTCATATGCTCAAAAAGGTAGAAGAAGGCATGGGCGTGATGAAGAGGTTCTTTTTCAATGAACATAAAACAATTGCCAACATTCCTTAACAGCATATAAAATAGTGGTACATCTTAAAAGTGGTGCTACCTTAAATTTTTGGTGAAATGTGGTAACAGCATCTATTACAACCTGCCTGGTGTTTATCCCCCTTGGAATGTAACCATTACTTTAATTTATTTATCATTTTAGAATGAAGTTGGGAGCAAGAGGGAGTGGACTCTCATTCACTGACTTACTCATTCTGTTATCACATGCGTACTGAAAATTCAGAGTAAAACCTCGTACTGTGCAACCCAGAATTTACCAAGATGAGAATAATGAGATATATAAACCAATAACTCTACACAAAGTGCTGCAAGAGAAGATTAACATGAGACAGAAGGAGTTCAGAGGCGAGGAGAAGTCAAGGCTGGCCACACAGCAGAAGAGGAACTTTGGCTGGGCTTGGATGATGGGGCATTTGGACAAGTGAAGCAGTGGAGAATTTCTTTGAGGGACCTGGGCCTCCACCAGCCCTTTGTATGAATTAGAAAGGGACTTTTTCTCTGTTGCCCAACACTGCAGGTGCACTACTTGGGAAGTGAACGGCACCTTTGAAATGAGGTGCTACTGAAACAAAAGCCTAAAACTGGGGAAATCATCTTAGGGATGGAAGTGTGGGCTAAGAGACCTCAATGAGACTGATAGTAAAGTCTCAAAGTTCAGTGAGGGAACACCTGGAAAGATGGAAAAGAGTGACTGCTGTCATGTAGCAGCAGAAACGTTAGTTAAAATATCCTTTGGGGAAACCAGGACACCAAAAAATATACCACATGAGCTTGTGGGTTTGACTGAAGAGACTTTGAGGCAGACTGTCATAATTGGCAACTGCTTTCTTTTAGCTGTGTGTAATATAGATAAAATAATGAAGGAATGTCCCATTTTTGAGCAAAATTTAAAGAAAATATAAAGGTGTCAGGACTTGGCTGGGTTTCTCTAAGTGGTTTCTCATATGCATCTTTCAGACAAAGAAATATTCTCACAGTAAGAAAATGCTGCGTGGCAAAGATGGAACTCAGTGTGTTTGAAGTCAACTATGGCTGTGGGGTAAAGTTCAGATTAAAAGTGTGGATTTCATACCTTTTATTGAGACTTGAGAAAGATTTAAGGCATGCCTCATTTACTCTTTCAGTGAGACTGAGAGACTTGTGATGATATCTTTGTCTAATGGAGTGAGACCCCCTTAAGATTTGTAGGAAATCCACCAAGTTTTTAAGAGAATTGTATTGGTGGAAGCACTGTCAGCTCTGAATAAAGGGACAATTCAAAATTAGAAGAAGTCTCTGGGACATCCATCTTCTATGTCCAGGAAGATGACTAAGAGAGGTAATCAGATGAAAATATGGACCGTTTTTCGGGGGAAAGGAAGGGTGACTCAGAGGGTGGAGTCAAGAGCATGGAGGGAGAGGCAAGAGCATAGAACAAACACTCAGCTCTAATTAAGGTACACTTCCTACCTCTAGAGCAGGGGAATTGGTGCCCTGCAGCTGGATTTTAGCTGTGTGGGCATTGACTGCTAATGTGCCGCCAGCTTTCTGACTTTTCAGTCAGAAAGACCGATCCTGGTTTCTTTCCTCCCCATTGTATTAAAATGTTGGGTGTGTGGAAGAGGGAATTTGACCCCTTTAGTTTGCAGGTCTTCACGCTGGGAGGGATTGCGCTTGAGTAAATGCATCTTAGGAATACACTGGGGGTACTTTACAGACCTGACATAGATGATGAGACCCTGGACTTTGTGCTGATGCCATAATGGGCTGGGATGTTGGAGGCCTTGGTGAAGGAGGTGAGTGTATTTTGCATATGCAAAGGACAGGAATGCCTGTAGCCAAAGAGTAGACCATGCCATTATGTTCTTTTTCTTTTTGTTTGTTTTGAGACGGAGTTTCGCTGTTGTTGCCCAGGCTGGAGTGCAATGGCATGATCTTGGCTCACTGCAATCTCTGCCTCCTGGGTTCAAGCGATTCTCCTGCCTCAGCCTCTGTAGTAGCTGGGATTACAGGCATGCACCACCATGTCCAGCTAATTTTGTATTTTTAGTAGAGACAGGGTTTCTCCATGTTGCTCAGGCTGGTCTCAAATTCCTGACCTCAGGTGATCCACCCACCTGGGCCTCCCGAAGTGCTGGGATTACAGGTGTGAGCCACCGTGCCTGGCCGACATTATGTTATTTTTCTAAGGTGGCCACAGCAATGGTTTTCCATCCCACATGTTCTTCAACGTGAACTTGCTACATCCTGAAGAGATGGGTCTATTTCTTGACCCTCTTACACAGTCAAATGAGGCAAAGTAGAAAATTCATTCATTCTTAGCCTAAGATAAGCATGCAGAGGAAGAGACATTAATGAATTCATGCAGCATGAAATTTTCCCAGTGGGGGAATAAAAAAGATACATTATTAGAACAAATAGAATTATAAAATGACATAAGTGGCTATATCTTTTTAGGACACTCTTCAATAAAATCAAGCTGTTTAGCATTATTGCATTTTAACTACATTCCATTTTTCTGACATTAACCAAAAAAGCTTAACAATTAATTTGGTATATTTTGAAGTCTGTCCCTAAAATATTTGCAGTCCCCTCAGGCTAGATCATGGGCTTCCTGGCACTCCACTCCAGCAACAGTGTACTATGGTCCTCATCACCTGGTGTACTTACCGTCATGACCACCCAGAGGTAAAAGGGAGCTGCAGCCCATGGCTGGCCAGGACCCTGGGTTTTCAGAAATCCCTGCTATGTTAATATGCTGTCCACTTGTTTGCTCAACTGCCTCACTTCAGGCTCAACATCTCTAGAAAAACAGATATTAGGGAAGTCCCTGGCCCAGTTGCAGGGCCGGCGCACTTCAGCAGCCCCAAGTGTAAGCTGCACAGGCAAGCTGAAAGCCAGGTCCTCACTGTGGTGCCCCTCGTCTCCCCCAAGCCTGGCACCCCAGGGCCCATTTCTGTATCAGTGTGTCCCAGCCCTGGCTTTCATCTCACAAGGATAACAGCAAATAGCTTAAAGGAAATAAAGAAAACGTGGGTTGAAAGGGCACAGTACATCCTAGGCAAAAGGTGCATCATGAGCAAGAATGACATACAGACCGAGGGTGTGCTGGAGATGGCTCACACCAGCCCTTAGAGCTGGCTGTTAAATTATCAAGAATAGTGTGAGCCAGTTGTTAATCCCAGCCATTATCGTACATCAAATTAACAAATTTACAACCAAATCAATTATATCAAAAACAAAGTTAATAGATACTCCACACTCATTTCTTCCTAATTATTTTTAACCTGTTTTGCTACTGTTTATGCCCTGGAGGCTGCTTATGACAACTGTACCTGTATGATGGAGTTGCTACACAAAGGTGGCTACTGTGTATCTCTTTCCAACTCTGCATTCAGTGACATTTGGTAGCTGGAAATCCACCACAGTGGGAGTTTTACCAGAAACTGGCAAATGCTACAATCAGGGCTTTCCCCGAAGAAAGCTGGTTGGTAAACATTTGCCTGCACACTACAGATAAAGAACTATGAGCTCTTCATAGCGGGTTGCATACCAAGGAGAGTACAAGAGGCCACCTCAGAACTCCCACTGAGTGCTCTTGTGGAGAAGGAGACAGAGCAGGGTCTACACAGTTAGGGTGGAAATGGGCTCTGGGAGTTTTATACCCATCCAAGTTCTCGCTCACATGTGGAGGACAGCAGGTAACGTGCTGACACTGAAGGACAACAGCCCAAGTACATCCAGGTTTGTAGCGGTATGGCCAAAAAGGACACTCCTTTCATGAAGGCATCCCATGATGCCTTTGTGGAAGGGACCCCCAACCCACGGGCCACAGACCAGTACCAGTCTGTGGCCTGTTAGGAACCGGCCTGCACAGCAGCAAGTGAGTGGTGGGCCAGCGAGCATGACCACCTGACCTAACCTCCTGTCCGATCTGCGGTGGCATTACATTCTCAGGGGCACAAACCCTATGTGAATTGCACATTCAAGGGTTCTAGGTTGTGCACTCCTTATGAGAATCTAATGCCTGATGATCTGAGATGGAACAGTTTTGTCCTGAAATCCTGAAACCATAGCCCCCTGCCACCCCTCATCTGTGGAAAAATTGTCTTCCATGAGACTGGTTCCTAGTGCCAAAAAGTTTGGGGACCACTGCTTTATAGTACCTAAAATTATATGTTTTTGTTGACAGAGTTTTCTAGAGGGATCTGCAAGAAGCTGTTACGATTTATTGCATGGGGAGGGAAGCTCAGGGTGGTTAGAATTCTTTACTTCTCCTGTGTTGATTGCACTTTCTACATTGTATGTATGTACCTTTAATATTTTATAAATGTGTGTTTTTTAGAAGAGATATGCTGACATAGGACACAGAAAGATTTAAAATAAAATGAAAGAAAAGATATATTAAACCAATATTACCCATTAGAAAGCTGCTGAATTGCTATGACTGTCCCATGAAATAGACTTAAAGGCAAAAAGCATCATGAACGTTAAAGAAAATAAGAAGAATGACTCACCAGCAGGACAAAAACTGTGATGGACAAAAACTGTGGACATGAGGAATGACTGTGATGGAGAAGAACAAGAACTGTGATGAACCCATATGCACCTAAGAACATGGCCTCCAAACACAGAAAGCAAACACTAACGGAACTGTGAGTCCACAATCTCAAGAAGTTTTGTATGTCTCTTTCAATGACAAGACAATAACAACAAAAAATTAGGATACAAAAGAATGAGTTGAGTCTGTTCGTATTAATTTGAAAAGATCTCTTCAACATATTATTTATTCAGTATGCCAAGATGCAGAGCAGTATTGCATAGTGTAATCTCATTGATGTGTTAAAAGTATACATGTGCACAGGTGTGCACACAGGCATGCACGCACACACACATGCCCTTTGGTTCTGCACGTACATGTTCTGCAAGGTTCCAGTGGGGAATGGAAGCAGAGTTTGTAGGGATGGGGAAAGAGAAACTTGTATCTCAAATTTTACTTCCCTTATGTTTAAATTTTGTCATGCACACTTATTAGTATTATACCTTTTTAAAAAAAAAGAAGGAAAAGAAAAAAAAGTCAGTTTAAAAAATCTGATTAACTGTCCCTGCAAAAGGCATTCATCTGGTTTCCCAAGTGCTGTCAAGTCAAATTGGTGACAGAAATACTCGCCCCAGTCTATTTTCAATGGAGAGAAGGAACACAGTTTTTGAACATTGGTCTATTTATTTTGAAAACTGAAATGTGTACCAATCTATGACAAACCTTCCAGGGGGGAGAAGGTGTGTGTGAATTCTCTACCACTTCCATTCAAAAACCTCTTTATCTCTGATAATTTTCACAGCCTGGTCTTATCTTTCCAAGTTTGGTGGTGTGAGTTAAGATAAAGGGATCCTTAGACCCTATTGTTGTCAATGGAACTGGTGCACACCACCCCTGCTTGCAGTGACTCACACAGAGTTGCCCCACCTCAGGGTACAGAGACTCACGCCATCTTGGTTTTAGAAAGGAGGCACCTGCCCTTGTTACCAGGTACCTTCTCTGAGGGCCATGACTCCTTCCCAGAGCCACGCCCGCCATACTCTCCAGAAAAATACCAGGGGTTTACCAAAGACTGTGCAGAGTCAGAAGCCTTGGTTACCTCATGTCTGTGCAGAGTACCCAGGAGGCCCTCGGGGCCCCTCCTGCTTGCTCTGTACGAGGTCACTGTCCTTCCCAGGGGCTCCTATTGTCCCTAATCACATAATGTTGACCCCTAAAGTAGCTGAGGGACTTGCTCAGTTAAAAAGGCTGGGCTGGGCCAGGTGCGGTGGCTCATGCCTGTAATCCCAGCACTTTGGGAGAACGAGGTGGGCGGATCACGAGGTCAGGAGATCAAGACCACGGTGAAACCCCGTCTCTACTAAAAATACAGAAAATTAGCTGGGTGCGGTGGTGGGCATCTGTAGTCCCAGCTACTCGGGAGGCTGAGGCAGGAGAATGGCATGAACCCGGGAGGCAGAGCTTGCGGTGAGCCGAGATCGAGCCACTGCACTCCAGCCTGGGCGACAGAGCGAGACTCTGTCTCCAAAAAAATAAAAAAAAACAAACGGCTGGGCTGGGCTGACAGTCCCCTTCCAAAGTGGCCTCCTTCTTGCTTGTCTGGTGTCCCCCCAACCCTGGGCTCCCTCTCCCCACATGGAAGCCCACCCCCCAGGCCTCTCCATGAGCCTGGGCTCCACCCAGTAGGGGGGTCTCGGGTAGATGGACTTCCTGCGTGGCAGGAGCTTCTAGACAGCAGGAAGGGGCGGCCATAAGCCAGTTCCCGAGGACAGGTGGCTCTGGTGCAGGCTGCCCATCAGCCCAGCCGTGGGGCACACCGGACTCGGGGCCACGTTATGGGGTGAGGGCTGTGGCAGCTATCTCTGGGGAACACACTGGCCACAGTGAATCATGTGCCGGCACGTAGGGTGCACTCACCCTGCTCTAAGCCCCGGTGCCGCATCCCCCAGAATATCGCTCCCAGTTCATGATCTCCTCATCCACATGGGGTCCAGGTGAGGCTGAGGCTTCACAGGTGTGGATCCCCCTAGTCTACAATGGGACAGAGTAGCTGCAAATAGCACTCCCCACTCCCAAGAGGGGCACGGGTGCGAGTGGCCACCAGCCCATAGCAATTCTGAAATCCGTCTGGGCGCAGGCCGCCGGTGATCACCCCGGAGGCCCAGTCAGTGGCTTTGCTGTGCCAGAAAGACAGTGCAGGTCCAACGCCCACCTCGTGTTGACCCTGCTCACCCAAGGCCTTCTCTGAGCCCACATTCAAATCCAAGCAGGCGCCTGACGAGGGAGGTGAGAATTCGTCACTGCCTTCCCTTCATGTCTGCTGCAGTTCACACCTGGCTTCGCACTCACTGAATGGCGTGGGGCACCGGCCTGTCTCCGACAGAGATTCCCACTGGGATTGCTGCGTCACCTCCTCCCGGCTCATCCCCACCCTCCCAGCGCTGCTGGGCCTCCTGCCCCGTCCTCGCCGTCTGGGATTTGCCCCCTGCCAGGCGTGCGTTCCTGGGGCGGCATCCTGCCCTTCTCATCCTGCGGTCACAGCTGCAGGGCGGCTAAAGCACCTGGAATGGGGTGGAGACCGTGACTAGCTCCTCCTGCGCCCCGTGGGGAGTCTGGCAGGGATATGACTGCCATCCAGAAAGCCTTGGGCATGTGTGGCCCTGAGACTGGTCCTCACCAGCAGCACTTGGCAGGAGAGACGCAGTCCACTCCGCTTTCAGAGGCTTTTAGAGGCAGCTGTGTCTCCGTCAGGCTCAGGAGACAGCAGGGCTCAGCCACCAGCTAGCCAGGGACCCCATCTGGGACCCCATAACCACTGTTATGCTTGAGCCCTTTTGTACCTTGGGGCCTGTTTTTCACACACCCAGCCTGCCCTGGCAGCACAGAGGACCTCCGAGAAAGTGTGTAGAACGAATGAGCGAATGTGGAAGCTGGCGGCCGGCACTGGGCACGTGTCTGTTGCAGCTGAACCCCAGCCTCACATTCCAACTGCCCCCCCTCAATGGCCAGATGCCCAACAAGGAGGGTGCAGCTGGCACCAGAGGTCTTGGGCCTGTGCAGGAACCTGAAGACAGTTCTGGAACAGGGCTGCTGGCTTTGCATGCCGTCATACCCACTGTTCATGTACCTCGACTCTCCATTCAGTGCTGGCATCTCCAGGCAGAACCTCGCAGTGTGCAGGGCTTCCACTGTGCCTTCCCAGTCCCCGCCACCAGGAAGGTCTCCTTGGCTCACATGGAAATGAAGCAGTGGCCAGAGTTTGCACGAGTGGCCAAAGGTCAAGTGGCTGAAGTTGCTCACTGGGAAGGACGTCAGAGGCAAGTGCACCGGCATCCCGGGGCACCGACATCCCAGAGGCATCTGACATCCCAGGGGCATCCGACATCCCAGGTGCACCCGCATCTCAGGGGCACCCGCATCCCGGGGCACCCGCGTCCCAGGGCCACCCGCATCCCGGGGCACCCCCATCCCAGGGGCACCCGCCTCCCAGGGGCACCCCCATCCCAGGGGTAAGCACATCTCAGGGGCACCCGCATCCCAGGGGCACCCCCATCCCAGGGGCACCGACATCCCAGGGGCAAGCACATCTCAGGGGCACCCGCATCCCAGGGGCAACCGCATCCGAGGGCTGCCCGCATCCCAGGGACACCCCCATCCCAGGGGCAAGCACATCTCAGGGGCATCCGCATCCCAGGGGCACCTCCACCCCAGGGGCGCCTGCATCCCAGGGGCACCCCCATCCCAGGGGCACCTGCATCCCAGGTGCACCCCCATCCCAGGGCACCGGCATCCCAGGGCCACCCGCATCCCAGGGGCACCCCCATCCCAGGGGCACCCACATCCCAGGGCTGCCCGCATCCCAGGGGCACCCCCATCCCAGGGGCACCCCCATCCCAGGTGCACCTGCATCCCAGGGCTGCCCGCATCCCAGGGGCGCCCCCATCCCAGGGGTACCCGCATCCCAGGGCCGCCTGCATCCCAGGGGCACCCCCATCCCAGGGGCACCCGTGTCCCAGGGCCACCCGCATCCCAGGGGCGCCTCCATTCCAGGGGCACCCCCATCCCAGGGGCACCCCCGTCCCAGGGCCGCCCACGTCCCAGGGGCGCCCGCATCCCAGGGGTACCCCCATCCCAGGTGTACCCGCATCCCAGGGCTGCCCTCATCCCAGGGGCACCCCCATCCCAGGGCCACCGCATCCCAGGGGTACCCGCATCTCAGGGGCACCCCCATCCCAGGGGTACCTGCATCCCAGGGCCACCCGCATCCCAGGGGCACCCGCATCCCAGGGGTGCTGTGCACAAGAGGTGACCCTCTCCTCCCCCGGAAGCACTCCTCTCCAGGAACTGCAGGCCAGGGTGGAGGGAACCCTGTCTGGATTGGGAGCGGGGCAGGGGGAACCCTGTCTGGATTGGGAGCGGGGCGGGGGGAACCCTGTCTGGATTGGGAGCGGGGTGGGGGGAACCCTGTCAGGGCAGGGAGGGACCAGGGCTGGGAATGCACATCGTGGCAGCTGGAGTCCTGATTCGAGTGGAGTTTGGCAGAGACACCCTGAAGACGCAGCACTTGAGTGCAGAGCTCCAGGCTGAGTGGGAGGGATGTGGGTGCAGGGTGGTGATTGGACATCCAGCCAGTGCCAGGGAAAAGTCCCATCAAAGCGACAGACTCTTTGTACAAACTGGCTCAGGGCCAGCTCAGGTTGAAAGACAAACAAGAGGTGAGCCCCAGGCTGCCCAGGCAGGCGGGTCTGATGCAGAGCTCGCGGGTGTCTGGCATCCAGGCACTCGGGCCAGAACCTGCAGCAGGTTCAGAGAGAGACAGCTGCGACGCGTCCTCACACCTCCACCAGGAAATCGATTCTGGGGTTCGGAAAGGAGGAGTGGGCCTGCGACAGCTACCCACACAGGAGCCCCCGTGGCTAAGGACGGGCCAGAGTCACACGGCGAGGACACTCACCCACCTCTGCCTGCTGGCCTCGCTGCCTGCCTGGGGCGCGTGCAGGTCCCGAGTGGAGACCACACCAGCCCCAGTCCCCCAGGCCCCTCCCAGGCTCCCTGAAGGGCAGTGAAGGCTCAGGAACTTTCCAGGCCATGCCAAACCTTCTTCCCCACCTTGGGTGTGAGACCACGCACCTTCCCCAAAAGCTAGTGCAGACATCACGGTCACCACTCACATGACCCCAAGTGCAGACTTGGTCACTGTCACCACTCACCTGACCCTGGGGAGTCCAAGCACGTGCAAAGCTCACCTCCAGCCCCATGGCGGGGCCTGGCTGTGCCCTAGCTCCAGGCATCCAGGGTCACGTGGGCAGGATCTGAGGGTCAGATCAGCAACCCTCCACCCACCTGCCACGGGGCTGTGCAATGGCCAGCTGTCGAGGCCCTTTCCTAAGCCGGGATGCACCCCACGCAGCCCACCCGGGCCCCCTGAGCAGGTGGATTGTCCTGCCTCTCCTGCCTGTCACCCGGTGGTCCTCCTGCCCTGGTTCTCACCACCGGAGTCGCCAAGCTCCTCCAGGTCCTTCAGGGGCCCCCAGTAGCCACCTCCCTAGTCACCCCCAGCCTCCCCCAGGCCAACTCAGAGCCCACAACACTGTTGTAATTACTTTTAAATCATAAGAAAAGAAAAAAGAAATTTTAGATCAAATAAAATGTTTTCATATATAATATTAGCACATTTGGGCTTCTTATCAACACAGACGTAAAACAGGATTTTTGATGTTTTGTGGAGGGAGGGCCCACAGAGGCAGAGTGCTTGCCCCATGGCATCTTGTGTCCTGGCCGTTGGGCCACGTGGCTTCCCAGCTGGGCAGGACCCTCACCCTCTAACTCCTGGGGCTCACAGCCTTGGCAACTTTGAAACCTCATGGGTCCAATTGAGCGTCTGGATTCTTGTTGAACGGAGTTCAGGAAGGACTTTCTGATTCCGTGAAATCTTGCGGATCCGGCACAGCTGCCCTCTTCTTCCTGCCGAAAAGTGCCAATCACTCCCTGGTGTGGTGGAGCTGCCAGCCAGCTGGGTGGCTTGTGGCCCAGAGCCAGCAGCACTAAACAGAGCCCCCCACCCTGGGAGTGCCTGGGGGGCTAGTGAGGAGGCGTCCTCAGCAGGGGTGTCTGCACAGCTGAAGCCCCTCCAAGGAGTGCCCAGGCAGTGCCACGTGGTCCAGAGAGATGTAACCCCTGGGCCAGAAGCCATAAGAGGCAGGCAAGCACTGCTTCCTGCGAGGTGAGGGCTGCTCGCCCAGACCACTGCAGCCACTGGCAGGAAGGCACGGGCTGCCCTGTGTCAGGGGTGGGATGGTGCATGGGCCCGGGTCGCTCTGACGGGTCCTCCTCACCGTGAGAAGGGATGGCATCATGTGTTCAGAGGCGTGAATCAGTGTCAAGCATTGCTTGGTGCCGTGGCACGCTTTCCTGTACAGCCCGAGGCTGTCTGGGGAGAGGTGGGAACTGACCTTTCGTCTCTCTCTGCAGCATCCCTTGCCACGGGCAGCTCCCCAGATGCCACCTCTTATTCCCGGCCCCTGGCCCTGCCCCAGGGGGAACTCAAGGGTTGTCTCACCCTCAAAATCGACCTGTAGGTTGATGGCCCCGAAGACCCATGGAAACCAGGAGCATACCCCAGGCAGCTTCAGCCTCATTTTGGAGGTTCCAGCTGAGCTGAGCCAGCAGCTGAACAAGCTCACAGGCCCCGCAGTGTCCTTCCCAGGTGGTTCCGGGGGGCGCACCTTTCCCTGGCAGGGACCGGGGGCTGGGTGGGGCAGAAGGACAGCCAGTGTCTCTGAAGAAGGAGAGAAGACTTTTATTGTCAACGAGAGGAAGACGGAAACAAAGGACAAAAAAAGATGTTATTGGTGAAAGCTTGGGGGGTTCAGCCAACTTCTATTTCTAACAAATGAAGGACAAGAAAAGGCTTAATCAGCTAATGGAATACAGGCTGGGCCGCTAACGCGGTGTGAGGGGCCAGGGAGATGGCGTCCATGTTTGAAATATAAATCAGCTGTGAAGGCACCAGTTTGCCAGGGAGAAACCAAGCCATGACCCCAGAGCTGCTCACAGCACCGGCCCTGCAGGCAGGGGAATGAGCTGGGCCAGGGTGCCACGTGAGGGGGCAAGGGGGCAGGGCAGGGAGCTTCGTCCCAGGGTCCTCCTGCATCTGCAGCTCACGCAGCTGTAGACAAGGGCAGGATGAGCAGGGGCGCCGGGCAGGGGCCTCCAGGAGGCACTGGGAGAAGGCCCAGGGGGCCGGGGTGGAGGCTGCAAGTTCCTCCTGGGGATGGATGCTGCAAGGGCCAAGTCTGTTGGCGGCAGTTTCACTGATGTCTGTCCATCTAGCTGTGGTGCATTCGAAGCCCTCTCAGCAGCGAGAAGACCACTATCCCCACATCAGGAACAGAAACCCACCTGCAGGGAGGGAAGTGAAGAAACCCACCGAGGGAAGCGAAGAATCCTCCTGGGGCCCGTCCAGCAGCAGGTGGGGAACTGGTGGGAAAGGAGCTTCGTGGGGAAACAGCCCGGCCTGCTCTGGGTGGTGGGTGCCCCCGTGCATGAAGTTATCAGAACCCAGAAGTAGACACCTGGTTTGTGCATTTTAGTAGAAGCTAATTAACCTCAACTACCCACATGTACATAAAATTCTCGGAACCAAATTTCCATCCTGTTGTCTCTGGAGGCAAATCCAGGAGCCCCCCACCGTGGCCCCCGGGCACTGCTTACGCACCACGCCCCCACTGGAGGGCACAGGTGAGCTCCTGTGCCCAGCTAAGTGGACGTGGGAAGTACTCGTCCAGCAAAGGCGGTGGCTGCCCATCTGCAGTGCCCGTCTGCCCGTCTGCACGGGGCCAGCCAGGACACACAGGGCCAGCCGGGACACACGGGGCAGGGCCTCTCCCACCCGCTGGGGGGGTGCTGCTTTCTGGAGCGGGTCACGCTTTGGGGCCACCTTGTGAATGCGGGGGTTCTTTGTTCCCTAAGGAGACAGAAGGGACCCAGTGGTGCACACTGTATGCTGCTTCGTGGGGCTGGGTCATCCTCAGAAGTGCTTACGGTCAGGCAGGTGTTTTCCGCACAGAATGTCCACCAACCTACAGAAACCCAGAGGGCTTTTAAATTATTCTTATAATTTTTAATGAGGTAGGAGCTAAAACAGAAAAACCTGAACCACCAACAACCTGAAAGTCCCCATCACCAGAGGCAGGAGCTGGGCTGACTCCTCATCCTGCGGGCATCAAGTGATCCAGCCAGGCACTCCAGGGGAGACTGCGTGGTGGGGGGTGTGTGGAAGACACACTTGTCATGCTGGGGCAGGGCCTCCACCCGCTTCCTGCCAGCCCTGTGGCCCTGCGACTCTCCAAACAGTGCCCACTGCCTCTGCCTGGGGGTGGGGCCCTCGTCGGTGTTCTCTGCCCCAGGATGAGGGGCACTGCCCGATACTTGGCTGCTCACTGAAGTGGGGGTGGGGCCGGGCGCCTGCGCACCCCCAGGGAGCACAGAGTTCAGGGAGGTCCTCCCGGCCCACACAGCTGCAGCCAGCTGGCCACCCACAGCCCCGGGCCCAAGAACAGCGCCAAGTCCTCCTCAGGCCCTGGTCCCCATAAGAAGCGCTGGGCAGTTAGTGGATTTCCCCCACTCTCGGGAAAAAGGATGGAATCTAAAACTTGGGACTGTTCACCACTCTCTCAGGAGGGCACAGCAGGGAGTCTGCAGCTTCCCCCCAAGATCAGTTTAACATTGTGAAAAAGAAGCACGCAAGCCCTGAAACTTGGAGCCAAGAGAGAAAAACAGGCCCCAACCGATGGCCTCCTGTGGGGCCAGGGGTGACATCCCACAGCCCCAGGGCTCACCGAGGTCAGAACCACCTGATAGAGCCGACCCCTCCCACACATGGGCAGTCCGAGGCCCTGGACGTGAGCAGAGGGGCCGTGAGAGCCGGGCCGGGGTGGGGCAGGCTGCTCAGGGCAGGAAGTGAGGCCCAGGACACAGCCCTGGGAAGAATGGAGTCCGGAGGGGGAGGAGGGTGGCCGGAGCACCCACTGGAACGCCCACCGCCTCTTTGGCTTCGTTGTCCTGCCAGGGCGCAGGTGTGGGACGTCTCTCCCAGGTGGTCGGCGCGGCCGCCAGTCTGGCCTGTTAGCACGGGTGGCTCTGCAGGGGGAGATGCGGCCAGCGAGGAGAGCCCGGCAGAGGCTGAGAAACTGAAACGCAGGGTGTGCGGCCGCTGCTGGCCTTTACACTGTGGGAACAAGCAAAATGGAAAAACATTGAAAGGCAGAGAATAAACCACCATGAGGCCATTCGAAGGCCCCTCAGCCCAGCAGGTAGAAGGCGGTCCCACCTAAAACTTCTGGGCTGTGACAAACAGAATGGGCGAGGGCCGGAAGCCTCGGCATCCACCACAATGAAGCAAAAAGCCACGAAAAGAAGTGAGTGAGATAAAAAGCAAGGGCTACAGCTGAGTTCCAGAGAAATGCAGGTCACAAGGCCAGGAGGCGCTTCCTGGGAGCCAGTCACAGACCAGACCTGGAGGCCAAGGCAGAGATGTCGCACTGCACCGAGGGAGAGTGAAAGCAGCCAACATCCTTGGAGGAGACAGAGTCCCACTCAAGTAAGGGCTCTAGACATTTTTGAGGAATAAACAAAAACATTTGAATGGAAAGAAAAATAACTGAAAACATAAGTGGAAATGTTTTCCTCAGGCCTCGGAAGGATCTGTTGACGCAGATGGGGACGTGCCCTGTGTTGCTTTAAGGAGTCAAAGCAAAGAAACACAGACACATGCTGGGAATGCACTTGAATCACACGGATTTTGGAAACATCCTACGTGTGTCTAATGAAGAAGAAAAAAAAAACACGGAAAAAGTTTACCAAAAGAAACCAAAGCTGGCCTGTCCTCAATCCCCCACCCCCTGCCCTACCCCAGGTTGTCTCTTCGTGGGAAGAAAGAAAAGCAGGACCCAGGGAAGCGCGTGAAGCTTGCCCCTCTGTAAGCCTGTTTCCTCCTCTGCAAGATGGAGCTAATTACAGCTCCCGCCCATAATGCTATCGGGAAGACGAAGCAAGTTCCTGCCCGTGGAGACCTTGGCACTACCCCAGGTACGGTCAGGCACTGTATTATTATATTGTTATCATTGGCATGTATGAGCCCACAGAAAGACAACTTTAGCAACCTGAGAGCTTGATGTCCTCTCTAGTACTAAGAATGTTCCATTTAGTGCTGGCATCAGATGGGGACTTTTATGTTTCAAGAATGCCCAACTCAAACCAGCTTAAACATGAATTTGTTGATTAATATTGACTCATAACTAGAAAGTCCAGAGGAGAGCAGGCTTCAGGTACAATGTGATCAGGGTTCCAGTAACATTTATCTACAAATCTCTGCCATGCCGTGCTTCACCCATCTGTCTTATTCTCAGGGTTGTTTCCCTCCTGGTATCAAAGTAGCTGTAGTAGCTGGGCACAGTGGCTCACGCCTATAATCCCAGCACTTTGGGAGTCCAAGGTGGGCGGATCACTTGAGGTCAGGAGTTCCAGGCCACCTGGCCAACATGGTACAACCCCGTCTCTACTAAAAATGCAAAACTTAGCTGGGTGTGGTGGCATGTGCCTTTAATTCCAGCTACTGGGGAGGCTGAGACAGGAGAATTGCTTGAACTGGGGAGGCGGAGGTTGCAGTGAGCCGAGATCGCTCCACGGCACTCCAGCCTGGGCAACAGGGCGAGACTCTGTGTCAAAAATAAAAAAGTAACTGCAGTAGTTCCAGGCTTCACACCCACACCCCACACCAGCGACAGCGCAAGCTTCTGTCCTAGACTGCCCTAATGGCTGAAGGGCCATCCCCTGGAAGCTGGGATCAGTGAGGAGGCTGTGCTGACTGGCTCAGAGCATCAGGGCACCCCTCCAGCAGGGGAGTGTGCGCACCCAGCATAACGGGGAAGTCGCTGCACCCTAAGAATAGGCAGTTGGCCTGCAAACCCAGACTCCATGCAGCCCCCTCCCCAGGTAGGAACCAGGCATCGGGCTGGCCACAAGCTGTCACGACTTCAGGGCTGAGCCAGGGCCTTGCCTCCTCCAGCCCCCCATGCCAGCTTCTGTCCTTTCCACAGTGTTAAGTCATCCTCCAACACATCTCTCAGCCCAGGGTTCAAGTCTCCTCCCTCTTCGCCAGCTTCTGTCCTTTCCACAGTGTTAAGTCATCCTCCAACACATCTCTCAGCCCAGGGTTCAAGTCTCCTCCCTCCTCTCACAGCAGTCCCTGGGGCTGCTCTGTCTGCTGTACCTAATAGCTGGCCTTTGACTTTTGCACAGCTGGACGTTCATGCTGGAGGAAACTTTTACCTGTTCTCCCTGGAAGGAAAGCTGCAGGGACCCACACAAGACCTGCAGCCTTGCTGGTGTCCTCTGCAGTTGCTTCTTTCTTTCACACGATAGAAAATAAACGGTCTCTTTTTCGTGTACTTTGTAGAAACACCGAATCAGAGTCCGAAGAGCCCCACGATGGTAGATAGGAAGGGGACGCTTCGACCACAGGGCGCGGGAGGTTGGGGCCCAGAGAGAGTAAATCATGCTGTCAGGGTCACAGGTAGCAGTTTGTAGAACCGAATCTGACCCAAAACAAAGTCTGTTAACAGACCTTTGAGCGAAGAGCGATTTCATGAGTCACAATGCACCTGCACACTCCGTTTTTTTCTAACTGGAGTGAGGAGGGGAGCGTGTGCTTTTAAAGAGAGCGTCCGTCTGGAAACGCTGCACATTCGCTTTGACAGGAACACGGCAGGCAAAACAATCTGATTAGTGACCCTCCGGGAGCCGCGATCCGATTAGGCCTCCCAGGTGCCTGTGCTGGCTGCCCGTGGACGGAGGTGGCTGGAGACAGCAGAGCGGGCGGAATCAGGTCTGGTTTATGTTGAAGACTAAGATGCGTCTCTGGGGACGCTTGCCAGTTTCTGCTTGGCCTTGGCAGCTTTGTTAACCTGGCAACTGGAGCAAGAGAGAGGCCTATTTGAAAAATTAAAGATGTGACGAAGGGATAAAAAGGTCTCTGGAAATTTCCATCTGAGTGCTGGAGACCAAATGTGTTCCCCCCATCAGGACAGCAACTTGGGCTGCCATCTTCCTGCCAAGAAGTTCAGCGGGGCATGTTTCCACTCAGCCTGCTGAGGAGAAGTCAGCTATTAGCAGTGTTATTTTTTAAACATGAGACGCTTTCTAAGAGAATTTAGAAGACATATTTGTCTTAAAAATTATGACTTATTCAATGCAAGCTGTTTGTTGTGTAACAAGATTGGGTGAAATGAAATCCGCTCCGATGACAGGGCTTCTGTTGGAATGTGCCACTGTGGACGGTCTGTGTTTATAGACTGGAGAATTAATCATTTTAAACTCCAGAAAAAACCCACACACTTCCGGGGTGAATGCTAAAGACAGTGCTGTGGTCCCTCTGTAACACCAACAATCCACAGACTTTACTCTAAAACCCATATTTCCAACTCTGGGGTTCCTACTTGCTTCCCGCACCCTGGCTTCGCTTTATTGAGAGCACAGATTAACTGCACACATTTAAAGTACACAATATGATACGTAGGCACTTCTGAAACTGTCACTAAAATCTAGGTCATGAACATATTTACCCCAAAATCTCTTCCTCCGCCTCAGATTCTCTTACACTGCTCCCTTGTCCCCAGGCAGCTGTCGGTCTGTTTCCAGAGCTACTGATGGATCTCCACCTTCTAGAGTTGTATAGAAATGGACTCAGGGGGCCAGGCACAGTGGCTCACACCTGTCATCCCATCACTTTGGGAGGCCGAGGCGGGCGGATCACCTGAGGTAGGGAGTTCGAGACCAGCCTGGCCAACATGGTGAAACCCTGTCTCTACTAAAATTGCAAAAATTACCCAAGCATGGTGGTGCACACCTGTAGTCCCAGGTACTGGGGAGGCTGAGGCAGGAGAATCACTTGAATCAGAGAGGTGGAGGTTGTAGTGAGCCGAGATTGTGCCACCACACTGCGGCCTGGATGACAGAGCAAGACTCTGTTGTTAGACTGGCCTCAGTCATGAGCACAATTGCTTTGACATTTATTCACAGCATTGCACGGGCCGGTCACTCCTTCACCAAGTCATGCGGATTGGTCATTTACTTCTTTTTTTTTTTTTTTGGAGATGGAGTCTCGCTCTGTTGCCCTGGCTGGAGTGCAGTGGGTGCTATCTCGGCTCACTGCAACCTCCACCTTCCAGGTTCAGGTTGAAGCAATTCTCCTGTCTCAGCCTCCTGAGTAGCTGGGATTACAAGCGCCCGCCACCACACCCGGCTAAGTTTTTGTATTTTTAGTAGAGACGGGGTTTCACCATGTTAGCCACGATGGTCTTGATCTCCTGACCTCGTGATCCGCCCGTCTTGGCCTCCCAAAGTGCTGGGATGACAGGCGTGAGCCACTGCGCCCCAGCCATCTTACCGGGTTTTAATTTCCGTTTCCCTCATGAATAATGACACTCTTTCATGTGCTTATTTGCCATAACTAAACTGTTTATTATTTTTTCTAGTGTAGTTTTTCCTTTTATTTATTTTTAAATCCTTTTTTTTTTCTTTTGAGATGGAGTCTCTGTCACCCAGGCTGGAGTGCAGTGGCGCGATCCCAGCTCACAGCAACCTCTGCCTCCCTGGTTCAAGCAATTCTCCTGCCTCAGCCTCCCAAGTAGCTGGGATTACAAGTACCCGCCACCATGCCTGGCTAATTTTTGTATTTTTAGTAGAGATGGGGCTTCTCCATATTGGCCAGGCTGGTCTTGAACTCCTGACCTCAAGTGATCCACCCACCTCAGCCTCCCAAAGTGCTAGGATTACAGGTGTGAGCCACCTTAAAGTACTCTTCGTAACAGATTCAGATTTACAGAAAAATTGTGAAGATGGTACAGAGAGTTCCCACATACCTGGTACCCACAGTTTCCCTCATAAACATCTTCCATTACTAGGATACATTTGTTACAATTCATGAACCAATACTGATACATTGTCGCTCTCCAAAGTCCCCACTTTATTCAGATATTATTAGTTTTTCTCTAAGGCGCCTTTTCTGCCCCAGGATCCTGTTCAGAATCCCATGCTACGTTTAGTTATCTCGTCCCCATAGGCTTCTCTTAGCTGTGACAGCTTCTCAAGCTTTTCTTACTTTCGATGGCCTTGTCAGTTTTGAGGAGGACTGGGCAGGTATTCTGCAGAGTGTCTCTCAGTTGGGATCTGCTGGCGTCTGAGGTTTTCTCATGATTAAACTGGGAATATGGGGTTTTGAAAGAAGACCATTGAGGTAACCCACCATCTTCAGACAATCATGTCAAGGATCCGTATGACCAGCATGATTGTCACCATTGATGAGGACTTTCATCACCTGGCTAAGACAGCTTGTCCGCTTCCTTGCTGAGAGTGTTCTTTCCCCTTCCGGAACAGTCCGTCTTGGAGGGAAGTTGCTGTGCCCAGCCTGCACGCAAGAACTGGGGAGTTACGCCCCCTCTGAGGCAGAGTGTCTACATAAATTATTTGTCATTCCTCCATGCAGATTTGTCTCTTCTCCTTCATTTATTTGTGGATATGTTATTGCATCCTTTATTTAGATTGGCGTGGACTTGTGGGTATTTACACTTGGGTCACAGTGCAATAACACTTCTTGATTTTGTTGCTCACACTGTTCCAGCATTGCCCGTTAGGAGCTCTTCCAGTCAACTCCTGTAGCCCTTTGACATAGCCCATCAATCTGAGGTTTGTTTTGGCATTTTATTACTACATTTTAGTACAAGATGTTCTAGTCTCATCTTGTATATTACTGGCCCCAGCTCTGGAATCCACCAGTTCTCCAAGGAACCCTGGTTCCTTTCATTGAAGAAGCATATTGGAAACCGAGATCTGAGCATGAGATGTGCTTATAGCTATTGAGGTGTTGTTGCTGCCAAACCCTCTCAGCTCACAGAGGAGAAAATATATGTGCATATATTAACCATGTATATATGCATATCTAAAATACTTCTCTAGGTAGCCGTAGAAATCTATACAGGGCTAAACATCAGTTCATACCAATGTCTCCAACTCAAATCTAGCACCATGTGGGTCATCCCAGCTGCCTCCTCTTGCTTCTGTAACCTCCTAATAGTGAGAAACCTGGCTCCTACCATCTGCTATCCATGTATTTAATTGTTCAATTTTCAGTATACATGTGCTGTGGTTTGAATGTGTTCCCCAAAAGTTCGTGTGTTGAAACTTGATCCCCAGTGAAGCAGCGTTGAGAGGCAGGACCTTTGAGAGGTGATTGGATTAATCAGTTCATGGATGAATGGGTTATGCCGGGAGTGAGTGAGTTACTTCTCAGAAGAATGGGTCTGTTGTAAAAGCGAGTCTGGCCATCTCTTGTAAGACCCTCACCATCTGATGCCCTGTGCCACCTGGGACTCTCCAGAGGGTCCCCACTAGCAAGAAGGCCCTCACCAGATGCAGCCGCCTGACCTTGGACCTCCCAGCTTCCAGAATGGTAAGAAATAGATTTCTTTATAAAGTACCTAGTCTTAGGCATTCAGTTATAGCAACAGAAAACAGACTAAGACAATATTATGGTAGTGTCAGAACTGTTAATTCACACCTCACTGGGAGACAACTTTGTCAGCTAGAGTCCAGTGCTTACGTACTGTTCCTTTGCCTTTAGTCTTAAAGACTCCACTCATTCTGAACTAGGTCAGTGCTGTTCCCCCACTCCCTTCAGTGAGGATGTTCCATGCGTTTGTAATACAGTTAGATGGTTTTGTCACATTCTGGATTCCATCCTGAGGTCCTTGAGCTTCCTAAATGGTTTTTAAATTTGCATACAATGGGGTGTATTCTTTGTACTGTAAAGTTTCACAGGTTTTTGATAAGTTTATAATATCACATATCCACCAATACACTATCATACAGAATAACTGCCCTAAATAATCTCCCGTGCTTTAGCTATTCAGTCCTCCAGCCCTTCCCACAAACTCTTTACCACTGATCTTTTTACTAGCACAATGGTTTTGCCTTCTCCAGAATGTCACATCATTGGGGTTATATAGTGTGTAGTGTTTTCTGCCTGACTTCTTTCACTGAGTCTTATGCTTTTAAGATTTATCAGGAATGTGTTTCTGTATCTATTGACCACATGATTTTTCCTTATGTTTATTGTGGTGAATTCCATTGATTGACTTTCCATTGCTAAACCAACCTTACATTCTTGGCATAAACACCAGTAGGTCACAGTGGAGTTTCTTTTTTATATGTTGTTGGGCATAATTTGAGAATTTTTGTGTCTACATTTAACTAAGGACAGAGCAGAGTGAAATATTTAAAATGTTGAAAGAACTCCACCAACTTCGAGTTCTATATCCAGTAAAATTATTCTTCAGCGTAAGGGAAAAATAAAAATGTTCTCAGACAAATAAAAATGGAGAGAATTAATCACCAGCAGACATGCTCTACCAGAAATATTAGAAGAAGTTCCTTAGGAAGAAGGAAATTATATAGGTCAGAAACTTGAATCTATATAAAGAAACTAAGTGTTTGAGGATGAATAAATATAAAATCCTCCCCCCCTTATTCTTAGTTGATCTAAAATACAACTATTTATTAAAAGTAATAATTATAATGATATTGGGTGATTATAGCATATAGGTAAGTAAAACAAATGACAGCAATGTGGTAAGGGATGGGAGAGGACTGGGAATATTCTGTTACAAGATACTTGTATGTGGAGCAACATAGCGTTATTTGAAAGTGGATTTAGATTAGTTGTAAGTGTATATTGCAAACTCTAGGAAAACACCTTAAAAATTTTTTAATAAAAATTGATATGCAAAGAAAAGAAATACATGGAATGTGTACAGAATCATGTAAGATGCTCAGTTAAAACCAGAGAAGGCAGAAAAAGAATCTCAAATTGTGTTTTCATCTTCAACCAGTTTAAAATACTTTCTAATTTCCTTGTTCGTCGTTTCTTTGACTGGTGGGTTATTCAGATATCTGTTTTCAGTTTGTAAATATTTAGAGATTATTCAGAAATCTTTGTATTATTAATACCTGATATATTTCCGATTGGCCAGAGAACATACCATGATGCAGTGAAACCTTCAAATTTATTGGGAATTTTTTTTTTTTTTTTTTTTTGAGACGGAGTCTCGCTCTGTCACCCAGGCTGGAGTGCAGTGGTGCGATCTTGGCTCACTGCAAGCTCCACCTCCCGGGTTCATGCCATTCTCCTGCCTCAGCCTCCCCAGTAGCTGGGACTACAGGTGCCCACCACACGCCCGGCTAATTTTTTTTGTATTTTTTTAGGAGAGACGGGGTTTCACCATGTTAGCCAGGATGGTCTTGATCTCCTGACCTCGTGATCCACCCAACTCAGCCTCCCAAAGTGCTGAGATTACAGGCATGAGCCACCGCACCCGGCCGGGAATTGTTTTATGACCCAGAATACGGCCTATTTTGGTAAATTGTTTGTGTACAGATGAAAAGAATGTGTATTCTCCTGTTGCTGGGTGACATATTTGATAAATATTAATTTGGCTGATAGTATCCTTCAAGTCTTGTCTGCCTTTACTAAGTTGTCTATCAATTTGTTCTATCAGTTATTGAAATGAGGTGTTGAACTCTCTGACTGTAATTGTTGGTTTGTGTACTTCTCCTTACATTCTAGCTGTTTCTGCTTCATGTATTTTGAAGCTTTATTAGGTGCGTACATGGTTAGGGTTGTTAAGATCTCTTGATGAACTAATCCCTTTATTATTATAAAAAATCCTCTTTATTTCTTACAATGTTACTTATCTGATATCTACTTTGATATTGTAATAGCCACTCTGGCCATCTTTTGAATAGT
This sequence comes from Homo sapiens, assembly GCF_000001405.40. Lineage (NCBI taxonomy): Eukaryota > Metazoa > Chordata > Mammalia > Primates > Hominidae > Homo > Homo sapiens. The sequence goes on along the minus strand of NC_000021.9, from coordinate 45,565,469 downwards.
GCGATGGTATATATTTTTCCATCTTTTGATTTTAAGCCAATTTTATATATTTATATTTAAAGTGTTTTTCCCTGTCAGCAACATAAAGTTGAGTCTGGCTTTCTTATCTAATCATATAATCTCTGCCCCAGTTGAATTGTTTGGGCAATTAGAACATGACTGTGATTATTAATATGATTGGGTTTAAATCTATTATCTTACTTTTCTTCTTATATTTGTTCCATCTGTTATTTTTTCTTTTTTCTGCCTTCTTTTGCATTGTGTTTTTAATTCCATTTATCTTCTTTGTTGGCTTATTAGCTATAATTCTTGTTTTTTCTTTTATTTGTAGCTTTAAGATAAATAGTATGTATCTTTAACTTACGCAGTAATGTGATATTAAAATAGCATCTTTCCATCCCCTCTCACACCTTTTTTGCTGTTGTCAAACATTTTTAAAACTCACACGTTTTTAAACCTCACACTTTTTTTTTTTTTGAGACAGGGTCTTTCTTACTCTGTCATCCAGGCTGGATTGTGGAGTGCAATGGCACGATCATGGCTCACTGCCACCCTGACCTCTCGGGCACAGGAGGTCCTCCCACCTCAACCTCCCGAGTAGCAGGAACTATGGCATGTGCCACCATGCCCGGCTAATTGTTTGTATTTTTTGTAGAGATGGGGTTTTGCTACATTGCTCAGGCTGGTCTTAAACTCCTGAGCTCAAGCAATCCGCCCGTCTCGGCCTCCCAAAGTGCTGGGATTACAGGTGTGAGCCACCGTACCTGGCCAACCTCACACATTTTTAAACCTCACAATACATCATTAGGTTTTTTCTTTTCGTTTTAAGCAGTTGGTTATCTTTTAAGGATATTTTAAAAGTAAGTTTTTAATATTCGTCCACATATTTTCCATTTCCAATACTTTTTATTCCTTTGTCCAGCTTCAGATTGTCCTTCTGTCCGACGACTGCCTTTAACATGTCATATGACATTTGTCTACTGTTGATGAAATCTTTCAGTCTTTGGATTCCTAAAAAAGTCTATTTCACCTCCATTTTTAAAAGATGCTTTTCTCGGGTATAGAATTCTAACACTTTTTAAAAATCTGTTGGTACTTTCGGCCGGGCGCAGTGGCTCATGCCTGTAATCCCAGCACGTTGGGAGGCTGAGGCGGGTGGATCACAAAGTCAAGAGATTGAGACCATCTTAGCCAACATGGTGAAACCCCATCTCTACTAAAAATACAAAAGTTAGCCAGGCGTGGTGGAGCATGCCTGTAGACTCAGCTACTCAGGAGGCTGAGGCAAGAGAATTGCTTGAACCTGGGAGGCGGAGGTTGCAGTGACCCGAGATCGCACCACTGCACTCCAGCCTGGCAACAGAGTAAGACTCCGTCTCAAAAAAAAAAAAAAAAAAGAAAAAAGAAAAAAAGAAAAAGAATCTGTTGGCACTTTAAAGAGGTTGCTCCATGGTCTTCTCACTTGCATTGTTTCCAATCAGAAATCCATCCTTATCCTTATCTTCATTCCTCTGTATGTGAAGTTTTCCCTCCCTCTAGTTGGTTTTAAGAAATTTCTCTTTAACACAAGTTTTGAGCAGTTAGATTATAATGTGACTTGGTGTTGTTTTCTTAATATTTCTTGTGCTTGGGGTTTACTGAGATTCTTGGATTTGTGGGTTTACCTTGTTCAAATCCTTGTTTTACAACTTAAAGTGCCTTAATATTACACACGCATTAGGGCACTTTAAGTTGTCCTGTAGCTCACTGATGCTCTGTCCATTTTTTAAGTATTTTTTTCTGTGTGTTTTATTTTGTACAGTCTCTATTGCTGTTGCTGTGTCTTCAGGTTCACGCATCTGTTCTTCTTCAATGTCTAATCTGCGGGGATCCCATCCAGTGTACTTTTCACCTCAGACGTTGTAGTTTTCATCTCTAGAAGTTTGATTTGTGTTTTTTTTTTTAAATCTTCAATGTGTCTCCTCCTAATACTCACTCTTTTCTTTACCATTTTGAACATAAAAATATAGTTACAATAATTGTTTTAATGTCCTTTTCTGCTAAATCTACCTTCTTTGTCATTTCTAGATCTGTTTCTATGGATTAATTTATATCCTCATTTTGGGTTACGTTTTCTTTTTCTTTTTTGCATGCCCACTAATTTTTGATTGCATGCCAGATATTCTGAGTTTACTTTGTTAAATAATTGACATTTTTGTCTTCCTACAAATATTCTTGAGCTTTGTTCTGGAATGCAATTAAGTTACATGGAAACAGTTTGTTTCTCCCGAGGCTTGCTTTGAACGTTTCAGGCAAGGTCAGAACAGTTTTTAGCCTAGAACGAGTTTATCTCCCCTACTGTGGCAAAGCCTTCTGAGTGCTCCACTCCACGTCCCATGGGCCATGAGATCTCTGCTCTGACTGGCGGAACAGGCAACATTCCTGCCTGTGCATGAGCTCTAAGGGTCACTTCTGCTTCTCTTTCTGATGGTCTTTCCCTGGCCTTGAGTATTTGCCTCTCACACCTGCACAGATCCGTACACACGTAGATACCGGAGGAGGATCTTCCACGGACTGTTGGAATCTGCTGTAAATTCAGCTCCTTCCCCTCTGATCCATTCACACCTAGACACTGGAGGAGGATCTTCCATGGACTGTTGGAATCTACCGTAAATTCAGCTCCTTCCCCTCTGATCCATTCACACCTAGATACCGGAGGAGGATCTTCTGCGGATTGTTGGAATCTACCGTAAGTACAGCTCCTTTCTGTCTGGGACTCCGTCCTGTGGTTTATGGCCATCTTTGCCTAGCAGGCTCCCAGCTGTGTTTCCTCAGCTGTAGGAAACCGTGGTTCTGCCTGGATTCCTTTTCCCTGTGCTGCATCCTGGAAACTCTCTCCTGGTCATGAGCTCCGGCAGCTCTAGGTCTCAACCCGTTTGTTTCACGTCTCTCAGGGAGCACTGCACCACGCTGCCGGAGACCAGGCTCTGAAAACATTTTGCTTCACATATTTGCCTGTTTTTTTCAGTTGTTTCATGGGGGAGAGTGAGTCTAGGTTCTGTTCCTCCCAGGCTGTTAGTGGAAGTTTTCAGAACTGGCCTTTTGAAAAACTTCCCAGAGACAGTCACAAATGTTCCGTAGTCACTGGGGCTTCCCTTTACGATGCCGATGTGGTGAATGCGTGTGGTGTCGTGTCAGTGTGATGCACCTGTGTGGTGAGTGTTGTCTGTGTATCATTTTCCACAAACATAGATTTTGGTTCATGCCTGAGCTCTCTGACTGATAACTGTCTTAAGATTAAAAGGAAACCCTTTGGAGTTAGTGTGCATTTCTGGATTTGTCTTTTTTTTTTTTTTTTTTTGAGACAGAGTCTTGATCTGTTGCCAGACTGGAGTGCAATGGCGCGATCTCAGCTCACTACAAACTCCGCCTCCTGGGTTCAAGTGATTCTCCTGCCTCAGCCTCCTGAATAGCTGGGATTACAGGCGCCCGCCACCATGCCCAGCTAATTTTTGTATTTTTAGTAGAGACAGGGTTTCACCATGTTGGCCAGGATTGTCTTGATCTCCTAACCTTGTGGTCTGCCCGCCTTGGCCTCTCAAAGTGTTGGGATTACAGGCGTGAGCCACTGCACCCAGCCTGGAAGTCTTATCTTTCTTTGCTGTGCAGGTTCCCACCTTCACTTTTTATTTAATTTTTTAATTATTTATTATTTATTTATTTATTTTTTGAGATGGAGTCTCGCTGTGTCCCCAAGGCTGGAGTGCAGTGTCATGATCTTGGCTCACTACAACCTCCGCCTCCTGGGTTCAAGCAATTCTCTTGTCTCAAACTCCCAAATAGCTGGGACTACAGGTGCATGCCACCACACTTGGGTAATTTTTGTATTTTTAGTAGAGACAGGGTTTCACCATGTTGACCAGGCTGGTCTCGAACTCCTAACCTCAGGTGATCTGCCCACCTCAGCCTCCCAATGTGCTGGGATTACAGGCATGAGCCACCGCGCCCGGCCTCACCCTCACTTCCAATGCAGAGTCCAGCACTTGCAGCTGGAACCCACCAGGCCAGGAGTGGGAACACCGGGAGACGCTCCGGGCCCCAGACCTACCATATTTAATCCTGGCTGCACAAACGCAACATGTTCTAACTTGAAAGAGGTTCATTTATTACAAGTGAATGGCATGGCAAGTTACTGCAATAGAATACTCAAATATTTATTTTATACTTGGTCAATTATTTCTAGCACATCTTTTAGGGTCATTGCTCGTTCCTGTTTTACTTTGGTTGTGCTTGTCTGAAGGCATTTGCCCCCAGCTGGGTGTTGTTCAGACCTCTTGCCTCTCTTGTCTTCTCAACAAGACTCGGTGACATTTGCTCTCTCCAAGTGCACGGCAGCAGAAAATACTGTGGTTCGCAAGGCAGGGAAAGTGGATTAGGCTTGGTCGTTTATTCTCGTTCTTTCCTTCTTCCTTTGCACATGGGTGGCTGGGAAGCAGCTTCGTTTCTAAGGGCAGGGAATGACCACAGCAGTTGTAAGAGCAGCAGCTGAGGCTGAGCCAGGCCATGAGCATTCCCTCCGCCAGCCGTGAGAGCGCCTCTTTATCATGGAGAAAGCAGCATCAGAGAGGCCAGCTCAGAGGACAGCGCCGATTCTCCGGGGCTCGGGCCTCCCTCAGCTCCAAGCCTGGGTGCTGCTCTTCTTGTTTGTCTGTTTGGCCTCAGCCCAGCATTGGGTTCGTCCTCCTCATTGGCACTTGGCCACTGTTGTCACCACTCCGCAAGGCACCTCACCTTTGTCATTCCTCTTCTTGGTCCTTCAAATCCTCATTCCCAACTCCAACCTCCGCTCCCCTGCCCCGCCGTGTGCGGCCGTCCTTGCTGGTGTTGTCTCTTCCCTCCTGTTCTGGAGGAGTGTGTGTCTCTTTGTTTGGACTCTGATTTCGCTTCCTACCATGGTGCCAGTGCCACATCCCATTCCCACATGGCGTCTCCAAGACCCCTCCCTGCTGCGTGGTGGATTAGCTCCTGTGGGCGCCACCGTGGGCACCCTAGCGGGGGTGCCAGTGCCACATCCCATTCCCACATAGCGTCTCCAAGACCCCTCCCTGCTGCATGGTGGATTAGCTCCTGTGGGGGCCATAGTGGGCACCCAGTGCGCTTTGCCTGACCCTCCCAAGGTGATGGACATGGAGTGTCCCGCTCCTGCTGGCCTCATTGAGCCGTGGGCACGTCCCTGTGTGGGCCCTGTGTGGCTGTGGGAGGAGTCCTTGGGGGGTGGATCCTGGAGAGGACTTTGCCGGGCCCTGGCGTCCCCACCTCTCAGGGCCAGGCCGCTCCCCAGGAAGGCTGCACGGTTTATGCTCCATGAGTGACCCCAGGGCTCCCCTATGCCCACGTTCTAGCCACACCTGGCACGAGCCAGTTTCCTACATTTTGGGAGCTGGGGGGTGTGACGTGCTGCCTTCTGCAGAGTAAGCTGCATTTCCGACGTTTTGGCCCCTGCTGGTGGTCTGTTCACATGCGGATCCTGTCTCTGGGGCTGTGGCCGATTGCCTGAGGTTCAGCTGTGCCCACTGCCCATGTGGAGGGCTGTCTGCCCCCATCATCATCAGAAATGGATGTCACAGTAAAAATAAATCTGCTTGTCACACTGGGGGCCATTTTGACAGCAAACTCCATGTCTAGCAATTTCTCTTAAAAATACCCTGTGTGAGGGAATGATGCGCATTTGAATGACTAGTTCTTCACTGCTGTTAATAAGGAACACGGAAGCTCTGCGTGTGCTGATGTGGAACCACCTCCGAGCCAGTAAGTGAGAAAACTCGCGCACAGGTGTGGCCCCACGTCCAGAGGTCCATCCGCACGCCCCGGGCTCCAGGTTTGGCCGGATGCTCCCTGGACAGAGCTGCAAATCAGAATCCACAGGTACCTGCAGGGGCCTCAATAAAATAAAGACTGAAAAACAACTGGAAAAAAATATAAATCTTAGCAAATCTTTGCAAGTTGGAGCTGGAAGACCTGGCCTTCCCGTGGTCTCCGGAGGATGCTGCCTACCGCTGGTCCCCATGGGGGACTCGCCCACACCCCTGGCCATTTTCAGTGTGTGTGTTTGTCTCCTTGTCGGTGCGTGGTGACACCTCACCGACCTAAATACACAGATGGGGGCAATTCCCTGATGGACCCAGGACACCGACACTCACCCGGCCTCAACGTTGCGATGTTTCCACACAGCTGAGGGGCTGGCAGTTCTTCATGGTGCTTTTTGACTTAAAGATGTTTTTAGGTTGGATGCAAGCACATCTACTCATCTTTTCCTTTGTGATTTCTGCCACTGACATTCCCAAATTTATGTAGTTATTGACTTCCACATGAAAATTCAATTTAGGCCAGGCACGGTGGCTCATGCCTGTAATCCCAGCACTTTGGATGGCTGAGGTGGATGGATCACGAGGTCAAGAGATCGAGACCATCCTGGCCAACATGGTGAAACCCCGTCTCTACTAAAAATACAAAAATTAGCTGGGCGTGGTGGTGTGCACCTGTAATCCCAGCTACTTGGGAGGCTGAGGCAGGAGAATCGCTTGAACCTGGGAGGCAGAGGTTGTAGTCAGCTGAGATTGCAGCATTGCACTCCAGCCTGGGGACCTAGCCAGACTCCACCTCAAAAAAAAAAAAAAGAAAAAAGAAAAAGAAAATTCAATTTAACTGAAATGTGTTTCCCTGTGTGCTGAGAAATTGGAACACAGCTCCACCTTGTTCCAAGCAACCAGGTGGCCGTACTCTGTCCTGCCCTGGCAACAAGGCTGCCCCGACTCCCTCAGATTCCCAGCCGCAGGGCTTCCTGTAGCAGCTCCGCTCCCTACCTGTGCCTGCCCTCGCTCAAACCAAACGCAGTCCTCTCACACATTTATTTCTGGGGCTGAACTCAAGTCACACTGGCCACATACGAAGAAGAAACACCCTCTGCAGCCTGGTCACAGCCCCACCTGCTGCATCCCTGGGAAGATCCCCAAGGCTCGCCGGCCAGCACCCCTTCTGCGGCACCACTGCCTTCCCGGGTTCTCAGGGGGTCTCACTGCAGTGACAATGGGGCGAATCCTTCAAAGATTGAAGGGCCCACTGGGGATTTCTCAGCAGCCAGAGCTGCAGGCCCACACCCTGGGGCCAGGCTGCAGAGCCAGCATGTCCGAGTCCCAGCTGAGGTCCAGCCAGCCGTGGCCCACCTGGACTTGGGGGGTCTCAGCCTGTCGTCTTGGATGGTGGGTGTCATGCACTTGTCTGGCCTGATCTGTCACCAGCCGTGTGGAGTCCGACTAGAGAGCCTTGGCCCCGAAGGGTTTTCAGAAGCCGCCTCCAGTCTCTCGTCAGCACGGGACGTGCTAACCACTGAGCCCAGGCTTGGAGACGATGCCGCCGCTGTCTGAATATGGAGCCACTCGGCACAGACTGCCTTGGATGGCATGACTCTAAAAATATCCCCAAATAGGTGGCCTCCTGGTCATGCCCTCCGAAGAATGGAGCTCATGTCTAAACAGGAATGATTCCGTCAGACACGCAGGAGGCAAAGGTGAGCATCACACTATCACTCCCCACGCCACTGGGCTCAGGAGGCCAAGTCCGAGTGCCGAGGGCACGGCCACCCCCACACCTGCTTCCCCTCCGCAACTGTCTGGGCTGCGTCTGTGCTGTTAGTTGAGCAGAGGGCTCAGCCTGAGCCGGGACAAGCTCCTCACTAGCATCCCCGAGAGTCACCAGAGCGCAGGACACGGTCCAAGAGAGGCACACTGTCTGAGTGTGGTGGAGGGTTGAGGCTCCCCGGGAGCCTCAGAGCATCCCTTCTGCTCAATTCAGGGCAGTGAGTGGCCTTGGTTTGGGCCCCTGCACCCTGGTCCTGGTCACTGCACAAACCCCCAGCCCTCGCTCCTCTGCTCTGGCCATGAACCACTGCAGGGCTGTGGCTGGAGCAGGACACTCCAGGCGGACACTCACATGCCAGCAGCCTCCGGGCCCAACCGTCTCTGTGACAGAGACTACCAGCAAGGTGTGCAGGACCCGGGGCTCAGGGCCAGGCTGGGGCCACAAGGCACAGGCCAGCACCTGGTTCACCCAGAGCAGACGAGAAGCCTCAGGAGAATGTGGCACGGGCTACGGGGTCAAAGCCGGGGACTCCAGGGTGTCACGAGGCCAAGGTCTGTCTCCACTGATAGGGAAGACCCATCTCCCGGGCCGCTGTCTGAGCCCCAGTGCTCTGGCCTCGGGTTCTCTATCTCAAATCCCTTCCTGCTGCCAGGGCTTCAGCAGCCCCAGGGCCCAGCCTCCAGCTCCGTTCTTCCTGAGTCCTGGGCAGCTCCATGCAGCGGGTGCCATTGTGCAAGGAGCTGACACGTGGGGAGGCAGTGGCTGGTGCCCAAGTCCTGGTACCAGGGCACTGGCCAGGCCAGGGCTGAGCCCAGGGGAGGTTACATGGTGTCCAGAGGCCTCTCGGAGTAGCCAGGCCTCTGAGGCGCCGTCCCAGGAGACACATGCATCTGAGTCGCCGTCCCAGGAGACACATGCGTCTGAGGTGCCGTCCCAGGTGACACATGCATCTGAGTCGCCGTCCCAGGAGACACGTGCAGGCCGGTTGCTGTGCAGGGCCCCCAGGAAGCCCCGGCCACAGGACTCCCATGCCACCCTCCACCCCGCCTCTCTCCCCATCCAAGATCTTCCAGAGGACGTGAGAGAACATTTAAAATACTTTGGTGCAACAGAGACAGATCAGCCACAGAGCGCTTGACAACGTCCTGTTCTGTCCTGTCTGTGGCAGCTCCGGCCATGTCCCTGGCCCCCACCCCATGTCTCCTGGTGCTATGGCTGCAGACAGGTGTGTCACTGACTGGTTTCGTCTGCACGGTGTTTTGAGAAGAATTCAGTTAGTTTTAATTAGTACAAATTTAATCAATTTTAATTAATTTTAACTAGCTAATTTTAAGTCTTTAATTAGTTAAGAAAGGCAGGATTTCACATAAGAATTACAGATTTCAAGCTTCTCTTGAAAAGTTGGAAGCACCAAACACCCAAGCCCGGGCGCTGGTGGGGAGCAGCGGGGGAGGCCGAGCTGCTGACGAGCGGGTCTGGCTCAGAGCAGCGTCCACCCTCGGCCCTCACAGGCCCCGCTGCCCTGCCGCCAGGGCTTGAGCTTGCAGTCTTGGGTCCGCCCGGTCTTTCTGTCTGCGGTGGAGGTAGAGACGCTGACGTGCTCAGCTTAGGAGTCTCAGGTCTCCCCGGGCCGCAGGCCGTGAGGACCTCTGCTGGTCATCCCCGGGGTGGCTGCAGCCACCCTCTTCCGGGGACTGGAACGGGAGCGTCCTTGTGGCCAGGAGGGGACCCTGCTGGTGGCCGCCCGATGCTCAGGCCCCTCTTTCCACCTCTGTGTGCCCCACCCCAGCTTCTGTTCTCGGCTTTGACCTGTGACCTCCGACCTTCAGAGGATTAGGGCGGGGGTCTTCCTGGAAACCTCAGAGGATCGTCTGTCCCGTGGTCACCTCGCGGGAGTAGACCTTGCTGCATGCGCACCGTGGCCATCTCCCGGGTGTAGAGCTTGCTCCATGCGCAGCGTCGCGGTGATGTCACTCACTGGGCCCGCAGGGACCACGTGGATCCTGCCTCAGGGTCCGCGACCCCCTCCCGGCACCTCCAGGACCGCGCATGGGCGGCAGCCGGGCCCCTCGGCTGGCGCGGAACTCTGCGTGGGTCGCTTTCTGCCAGCGCCCGCCGTTCGCGTGGAGCCCACCCTGCTCGGGAGGCTACGGTCCCAGGGCCTAGGCCAGCCTCAGGCACTCCCCACGCGGGCCGCCCCGCCCCGCCCCGCCCTCCTGAGTCCCAAGTGCCCGGGACGGTGGGTTGGCCTGCAGCCCCTTAGCCCCCGCGCGGGGCCACGCAAGCCCGTCCCCTTTCGCCGCCGCCCCCGCCGCCGCCCCCTGCACCTCCGTTCCCTGCAACCCGCGTCGCCTGCATGGCCACCCAAGCCGGTTCCCCTTCCCCCCACAACCTCCCCCATCCCCCTCCCGCCCCCAACACCCCCCACGGCCCCCAGCTCTCCACACCGCCCCTGCCTCCCATACTGTCCCCGCCGCCCCTGCAACCCCCACCCCCACCTGCAGCGCTGCCGCCCCCGCCGCCCCCCGCCGCCCCCCGCCGCCCCCGCCGCCCCCTGCGCCGCCCCCTGCGCCGCCCCCTGCGCCGCCCCCTGCGCCGCCCCCTGCGCCGCCCCCTGCGCCGCCCCCCGGCGCCCCCCACCGCCCCCTGCGCCGCCCCCGCCGCCCCCTGCACCGCCCCCTGCGCCGCCCCCGCCGCCCCCTGCACCGCCCCCTGCGTCGCGAGGCTGCTGGGCTGGGACCCGCGGAGGCTCCGGGCGCCGCTCGCCCCCTGGTGGCCACTCCCCGCGTTGCGTCGGGGAAACCCGAGGCCTCCAGGCGCGCGCACAGGGCGGCCCCACGCATAACCTGGACGTGCTCCTGGGCGCGGGGTTCTGGAAACATCGACCCAGGGAATGGACCGAAAGTACCGATGTCGTCAAAGGGGCTGCTTCTGGGGAGAAGGCGAGGGGCCTCGCCACTGAAGCCGGGAACAGGGCCCGCTGCTGGGACTCAATGAATCTGGACAGTTAAAAGCAAATAAGATGGGAAAAACCGAAACCGTAAGAGAAAGATTCACTTGTCAACTTGTCATAACAATAATAGTAAAAATGATAGCACAGCAGCTTTAGTCACCACAGCCAAGCGGAAGGAGATGTCCAAATGTCCATCCATAAATGAAAAATCAAAATGTGGAGACGCACACAGGAAGGATCGCCGGCCTGAAAGGAAGTTTCCACGCCGCTGCCCCGTGCAGGGACCTGGAGACACGATGCTGAGTGCCCCTGGCCAGGCACAAGAGGACGCCCCCTGTGCGTGGTTCCACTCAGAGGCCCCGCGGTGGCCAGACCCGGCCAGAAAGTGGGATGGGGGCGCAGGGGATTGGGAGGGGGGCGCGGGGGATTGGGGGGGCATGGGGGACTGGGATGGGGGCGCGGGGGACTGGGATGGGGCGTGGGGGATTGGGAGGGGGCGTGGGGGACTGGGAAGGGGGCGCGGGGGGATTGGGAGGGGGCGCGGGGGATTGGGAGGGGGCGTGGGGGATTGGGAGGGGGCGTGGGGGACTGGGAGGGGGCGCGGGGAGATTGGGAGGGGGCGCGGGGGATTGGGGGAGCATGGGGGATTGGGATGGGGCGTGGGGGACTGGGATGGGGCGCGGGGGACTGGGATGGGGCGTGGGGGACTGGGAGGGGGCGTGGGGGATTGGGAGGGGGCGTGGGGGACTGGGAGGGGGCGTGGGGGATTGGGAGGGGGTGTGGGGGACTGGGAAGGGGGCGCGGGGGGACTAGGAGGGGGGCGCGGGGGGATTGGGAGGGGGCGCGGGGGACTGGGAGGGGGCGCGGGGAGATTGGGATGGGGCGCGGGGGACTGGGAGGGGGCGCGGGGGATTGGGGGAGCATGGGGGATTGGGATGGGGCGTGGGGGACTGGGAGGGGGGCACGGGGGACTGGGAGGGGGGCTCGGGGGACTGGGATGGGGCGTGGAGGACTGGGAGGGGGTGTGGGGGACTGGGAGGGGGTGTGGGGGACTGGGAGGGGGCGTGGGGGACTGGGAGGGGGCGTGGGGGACTGGGAGGGGGCGTGGGGGATTGGGAGGGGGTGTGGGGGACTGGGATGGGGCGTGGGGGATTGGGAGGGGGTGTGGGGGATTGGGAGGGGGTGTGGGGGACTGGGATGGGGCGTGGGGGACTGGGATGGGGTGTGGGGGACTGGGAAGGGGGCGCGGGGGGACTAGGAGGGGGGCGCGGGGGGATTGGGGGTGAGTGTGTCTTGGGTGCAGAGCTTCAGTTTTGCAGGACGAAAGAGTTCTGGAGATGATGGGGGTGACGGCCGCACAACAGTGTGAATGTCCTTAATGCCATTGAAGTGTGCAGTTAAAAATAGTTAACATGGTACATTTTATGTCTCTTTTACCACAAAAAAAATACAAAATAATAACAGCAAGGCCTAGGGCTGGCACTGTGATGGGCCGGGCTGCCTCCCACTGAGCCGTGTCCCCTGTGGCTCCTCTGGACTTTATCCCGGGGACCCTCATGGGCTGGAGGGAGGATGTGGCCTGGAGTCGTGTCCTTCACACAGCACCATGACCCTTGCACAGGTCCTAAAGGTCAGCGGCTCCCGTCCCCTTAGGCCGGTGGGAGGGATGCGCGGTGCCTGGAAGGACCAGTAGAGCTTGCAGGGCAGGACCCAGCCCCAGCCTCTGCTTACAAAACTGCACCCACGGCAGCAAAGGCCCCTGCCCTCCAGGCCCAGCCTCCAGCGAGGCCCCCGCTCCGGTCCTGCCCCAGCCCTGAGCCTGGCCACCTGCCGCCCGGTGGAGTCTTGTTTTAGTGGAATCTGCCCCCTGCGATTTGCCAGGAGGAAGAGCTTCCATTGCGCGAGGTCTTGTGTAAAAGTGAGCACATGGGGGGCGCCACGGAGAGCTGGGGCTGGCACTGCCCTGGGTGCCCTGTTCTGGGCGAGAGGCCGTCTGCTCTGCTGGTGACCGTGGATTATAGCACACAGCCGTCGTGTGTTTTGAGCAGTGTCCTCCTATCAGCACAAACGCAGGGACAGGGTGGACGGGCGGACCAGCCCAGAGACTCCCGTGTCAGGTCAGACTCATGGGCCAGGAATGACCTGCAGGCTCCGCATTAGGGGTCTGGGACACACCCAGGGCCAGGATGAGACTGGCCCCAACCCACTAAGACCCGCTCCACTTCGCTGAGACCAGCCCCTCTCTGCTGGGGCTGGGGCTGTCCCGGGTGCCCTGTTCTGGGCGAGAGGCTGTCTGCTCTGCTGGTGACTGCGGATTATAGCACGCGCTAATCCCTCCTCCACGTGGTCCCGAGACCCGGGCCTGGGTAGGACCCGGGGTCTCTGCACATTCGAGGGCTGCGGTCCTGGCCTGGCCTGAGCCTCCGGGTGGGTGTCGCTCTCCCCAGGGGCTCTCCCTGGGGCCCCCGACCCAACAGCCACCGATGTCCACACTGCCTGCTGGTGGCACAGCCTGTGGGTCTCCCTGGAGTGGACAGGAGGGCAGTTTTGTTCTTTCCCTGGGACACTCCTGAGAGCTGGACCAGCCTGACCCCTGCTGCTCAGGCTGGGAGGGAGGTCCTGAGGCCAGGATGTAGCTCCCCTGGGCAGACACAGATGCAGCAGCAGCAGCCCAGCCTCTTCTTTGGCCCATCGCAGATCTCTCTGGTCTGACAGTGGCCTCACCCACTCCCTGGGGTCATCACTGTCTCCTCCTGAGGAGGCCGTCAGTCCCCACCACACAGCCAGCCCCATGGAGCGGCGAGACAGTGGGTCAGACACTCGGGCAGACACCTTTTGTAGAAAAGCAAATTCCACCCCATGCTCTGAGGAACGCACCTGAAACAGCCATAAGGAGGCCGCACAGGAAGCCGAGGTCTCAGGCCAGCGTGGCGGCAGAACACGCAGGCGGTGTGGGTCCATCTCCACACTGCCCTAAAGTACGGACATAAAGGCGTGGACATGCAGGGAGGCGCGAACCCCAGTCACGGCGGGGCCCTTCACTCTGGCAAACTTGACACATACCCCAGACAATGCATGAATGAGGCTATCAGAGATTGAAATCCCACTATTTGCAATTTAGATTTTATTCATATAAAACACGATGTGCATAGAGAATATGCATTTTTCGAAAGCCCATGAAAAAGTTTAAAACATAACCCAAAACCAAGCCACAAATCGAAGCTCAAAACAATTTCACAAAATGAATACCTGCTTAGGCCACGTTCTTTGATCTGAACTTTATAAAACGACATATTAAACCAACAAACAACAACATCTGCCTACTGGAAACGTTTGAATCATTCTCTGTAATGAGTCATGAGTCCAAGAGGAAATCAAGCAAAAATCACGTCCTACGTAGAGGCTGACAGCAACAAGTGTAGTGACACAGCGTCCATGGGCCTGGCCAAAGGTGCCCCGTGAGAGGAATGAATTATTAAATGGTTTATTATTCCTAGTTTTATTCAAATTAAAGGAACATAGCAGTTAACTCAGAAACTAGAACAGGAAAGGAACAACAAAGTCAACAGGAAAAAGAAAAAATAATGAGAAAAGCAGAAATTAATTAATTGGAAAGCAATTAAAACTTGATTTTTTTTGTTTTTTTCCTTTGAGATGGAGTCTCGCTCTTGTCGCCCAGGCTGGAGTGCAGTGTCTCGGCTCACTGCAACCTCCACCTCCCGGGTTCAAGCTATTCTCCTGCCTCAGCCTCTTAAGTAAAACTTGAGTTTTTAGATCCAAAAGGTAGTTCCTTGAAAGAAAATAAGAGGAACAGAGAGTGCAACCAACCCAGGCGTAGCTGGGACTGTGAAGAACAGGAAAGGGACTAAGACAAGGGGGAAGGTAGAGGAGGAAGTGGGTGTTGTGGGGAGGAGAATGGAGGCGGGGGCCAGTGCTGGGAAGGTTGAGGAGGGTGGGGGAAGGGTTGTGGGGAGGCGGGGGGAGGGTGGGGGGCGGTGGTGGGAGGGAAGGGGACAGAAAGGCGGAGGAGAGGGGAGGAAGGCAGAGGAGGGAGGCAGGGAGGGGAGATGGGTGTGGAGGTAAGGGAGGTTGAGAAGGTGGAGGAGAGGAGAGGGGTCTGCAGACTGCACGCCCCTGCACTACTGCGTGTGAAAATTGAGAGGGAACGCCAGTCATCCAGGAACACATGAATACTGAAACATTCAGAAGAAGACGACGAAATCTGCATGCAACAAAACCACGGAAGCCCGGGGCCTGCAAGGCCAAGCCTCCCGGCGGGGCTGCTGTGATCCTGAACCGTGAATGGAGAGCTGGCTGTGGTCTCCCCTTGGCTGGGAGAACTGAGCTCCATCCTGCCCAAATCTCCCTGTTTATTTCATGCAGTTCCATTCTGGATCTAATAAGACCGTGTAGTCAAGGAAATTCCAGCTGGAGAACCAGCCCTTTCCACGTGGAAACGTTCACTTGTGCTTGTGGACGGGGTGGCAGGTGGCCCATGGGAAGAAGGGAGCACAGAAGACCCCATCTCCAAGCGGTCTGGCATACGAGGGCCTGAGGTGTCTGTGGGGGCTGGAGAGAACCAACAGCTGCCACCTGGGGACACAGTCTCATGTGACCCTTTGGGGCTCAGAGGTCTCATCAGGCAGGAGGCGCCTCCCCAGGAGGGAAACACCCCAAACCACAGAAGTGACCAGGGCGGTGCATGGGGTGTGGGAGAGACCAGGAGGAGGTGCCAGCCTGGGCTGGGTGGGCAGGAGCAGGATGCACAGCAGCCCAGGAGGGGCTGGGATGGGGTGGGCGGTACCCCACACTGACCCCCACTGTCCACTTTTGGCCAATGCTGCAACATCCGCATGTGCCAGCCTGGCCGGGGAGAGACAGTTCCCAAGATGCCAGAGAGTTCGGGGCTCTGCAGCCTGGGAGGGCTGCCCTGGGGCTAAGAAGGGGCAGAGATGAGGGTCTCTGTGGGGACAAGATGTGAAGGAGGTCACATGGAGACCTACGTGGCTGGAGCATACTGGACCTGTACCCCATCTGCAACCAAGAGCCACAGTGTGCGCCCAGCTGTCCCCTCCCCACCGTCCACCACCCCCCACCTGTCCTCCTCCCCACAATCCGCCAAGTGTCCCCCTCCCCACCACCAACCACCTGTCCCCTGCCCCTCCCCCACCACCTATCCCCCTCCCCACCACCCACCACCTCTCCCCCTGCCCCTCCCCCACCACCTGTCCCCCTCCCCACCACCCACTACCTGTCCCCCTGCCCCTCCCCTGCCACATCACTGCCCTTTTCTCCCGAGGCTGAGGCTGTTCTGGGTTCTCCCTTGTAACCAACTGAGGCCTGGATTGTCTCCCAAGAGACACGAGAGGGCTTGGAGCATTCGACTTGCTTCCAGGCCTTTCCCCCACTTCCAGCAGTGCAGGCTTTTAAAAAACAATTTTATCGAGGTGCAATTCACATGCCATAAATTGCACCCATTAGAAGCAGTTGTTAAACATGTCTGACAGATGAACACAACCATTAACCTCTACCCCCATCAGACACAGAACAATTCCACTGACCCCGAGCCTCCACCACAGGCACCTGCTCACCTGCCTCCTTCCAGGACGGAGCCTCCCTCCCCTACAGATGGACTTTCCCAGGCTGGACTCTGGCCCCTCCAGCACGAGGGTGCTGAGACTCACTCAGTTGTTATTTCCTTTTAGTCTGAGTAGTCCCTGTTATGTGGATGTACTGCGTGTTTATCCTTCATCCCATAATGGATATTCGGGTTGTTGCCAGTTTTTAGCAGTTACATGAGAACAGGGTACAACCCCTGTGCATGGGCTTTTGTGGGATCATGCATTCACATCTCTTCAACAGATGCCTAGGAGTGGAACTGTGGTTCATAAAGTAGACACGTGTTAAACTCCACAAGAAGCTGCCCCACTGTTTTCCAAAGTGTTTGTAACATTTCACATCCCCATATACTACTCCACAGCCTTGTCAACACTTAGTATTGTCAGCTTCTTAAATTTTAGCCTTTATAGTAGGAGTGGTTTGGTACTTCAGGCCTTAATGACAAAGGATTATGATATTTATGATATTAGGTACATTTTCACGTCTTATTTAAGTGTTCAAATCTTTTGCATATATTTATTTATTTATTTATTTTTTTAGACAGAGTCTTACTCTGTCGCCCAGGCTGGAGTGCAGAGGTGAGCTCTCGGCTCATTGCAACCTCCACCTCCCAGATTCAAGCAATTCTCCTGCCTCAGCCTCCTGAGTAGCTGGGACTACAGGCACCCGCCACCACACCAGCCTCATTTTTGTATTTTTAGTAGAGGTGGGGTTTCACCATGTTGGCCAGGCTGGTCTTGAACTCCTGACTTCAAGTGACCAACCTGCCTCGGCCTCCCAAAGTGCTGGGATTACAGGTGTGAGCCACTGCGCCCGGCCTCTTTTGTGTGTTTTAAGAAGTGGGCTATTTTCTTATTACTCAGTTGTAAGCGTCACTTACGTGTCTGGATACAAGTCCTGTATCAGATACAAGGAATATGAATGTTTCCTCCCAGGTGTGGCATTTTGTTTGCTTCCTGTGTCACTGGACACAGATCTACAAGTTTGACAGGGTTAGCTTTTAGTTTGGGTCTCAAATTAGTGTTTGTGAAAGGGACGTGATAAAGTCTGATGTTCATCTTCCCCTGTGGATATCCAGCTGTTCTTGAACTATGTGATCTAGAGACCACCCTTTCCCCAAATGAATTACGTGGACACCCTTGTTGGAAATCTGTGGTCCATGTGGGTGGTCCTATTGCCGGACTCCACCAGCTTCCCTTGGTCTCCATATCTCTGAGCTCTCCGACGTCACTTTTCTTAGTCACAATTGTTCTGGCTATTGTAAGTCTTTTGCATTTCCATCTCAATTCTGAATCAACATTTCAATTTCTAAGAAATAAGCCTGTGAGATCTCTGTTGGATTGCACTGAATCTATGGATCAATTTGGGGAGAATGTTCACCTTAATAATGAGCCTTCCAATTGTCAATGAAAAGAGTCAAACTATGTAAAATATATGAAGAGATTTATGCTGAGCCAAATATGAGTGACCATGACCCTTGACGCAGCCCTCAGGAGATCCTAAAACATGCGTCCAAGGTGACTGGGCACAGCCTGGTCTCATACATTTAAGGGAACATGAGACACCAATCAAATACATGTAAGATATACACTGCTCTGGTGTGGAAAGGTGGGACAACCTGGTGGGGGCTGGCTTCCAGGTTACAGGTAAAGCTAAACATGTCGGGATTGGCAATTGGTTGAAAGAGTTATTATCAATAGAAAGGGATGTCTAGGTTAAGTAAGGGGTTGTGGAGATCAAAGTTTTAGCAGCAGATGAAGTCTCTGGGTCGCAGGCTTCAAAGACTAGATTCTAAATGATTCTTATCAGACTTAAGGTCTGTGTTGACGTTGAAAGTTGGTCGGCTTTCCCTGAATTCCAAAAGGGGGTCAGGTATAATGACGAGTATCCATCCCTCCCTTCCCCTCATGGCCTGAACCAGTTTTTCAGGTTAACTTTGGAATGCCCTTGCCCAGAGGAGTGGTCTGTTCAGACGGTTGGGGGCTTAGAAGTTTATTTTTGGTTTACACAATCCATGAACAAGGTCTGTCTCCCCCATTTGTTTAGCTCTTCACTAATTTCTCTCAGTAATGTTCTGCAGCTTTCGGTATAGAGAACTTACACATTTTTCATTAAATGCATTCTTAGATATTTTCTGATTTTCATTGGCGTTGTAAATACTGTTTTTCAAATTCTGTCTTCCAATTATTTGTTGCTAGATTATAGAAGTACAATTACTTTTGTATATAGACTTAGTATCTCATGACCTTGCTAAATGCCCTTATTTCTAGTATTTTTGATAACCTGTTAGGATTTACTGCCCTGACAATTGCATCATCTGTGAACAGAGACTCTGCCGCTTCCTTCCCAATCATTTTGTCTTCTAATGTCACGCTTAGGTTTCTCGGATAGCTTGCTTGCAACCAAGATGCATGCCTGTGATTGTGGCGGAGCTTGATGCAAACCTCCTCCGACCGCAGGATGTTCCTGTAGCCGGACATCACTCCACCTGTGGGCAGGAGGGTTATCACCTCCAAGTTCTGGAAATGAGGACCAGGCAGTGTAGGCTTCAAACTCCACCTTGCAGTAGGCCAGATTTCCACTGGTTATTTTAATGTTTTTCGAACACTCTTTCGTTAGATGACATTATTCTAAACAGCTGCCTGTGATTCCAAAGAGGTTCAAACCTCCCCCTTTCCCTAGTAAAGATGGGCTATTTAAGCATGATTTTGTGAAAGTCTGGCTATAGGGAGACTTGGGGGCATCGGGATTCAGTGTTCTGCTGCTGGGCCAGGCAGGGCTCAACTGGGAGGGGCTGGGCCTGCTAGGGCCGCTGTCCGGGGCCCCAGTGGGGCTCAGAATTCAACTCCATGCCCAGAGGACCAGGTGGGACACCCTTCCAGGGAAGAAGTGTGGCAGGCACAGGCCCAGGTTAGCCCCACTGCTGTGGGGCTGTGACAGGCTGTGAGGGACCTGCGCTCACTTGGGGGATGCGGAAGCCAGGAGCTCCGGGGCTCCAGGCAGGCCAGGGACAACGCTTCTTCCTCTGGGCTTTGCTTCTCCGCTCAGCTGCCACAGGGCTTCTGGCTTCTGGCTTCACAGACAAGGTGCTGAGGACGGTGGCCCGGCTCAGCCTCTGAGAGGATGGGGGCCACAGCTGCAGGCAGGCCTGGGCTTGGGGCTAGTGCTGGGAGGCCTGACACAGGGGCATCCATGTCAGTCCCCCTTCTCCAGACCTTTGGGCCCCTAGGCCCTTGTGATGGGCTACCCCTGGCCGCTGGGAGTGTTAGGAGGTCAGCTCGTGGAAAAAGTGGGGGCGAAGGCCTGGCGGGAGTGGGGGCTGGAGAGAGGGGCAGCTGCAGCAGAGACCCACTGGCCAGCAAGCCAGGTAAGGCATTTACAGGGCGCACCGCACCTCTACCAAGCAGATTCAGATGGGAGCAGAAGCACCTGTCATTCAGCAAGGTGAGACTGGGGAGACGTCTGGAAATGTGGGAGGAAAAACTGGCTGAGGCCATGTGCAGGCCAGTTCACTGCACATGCTGGGGCATGGCAGGCCGGTCCGCGCCCGTCTTCCTGCATATGGGGTGCCGTCTGCACGGGAGCATGCATGTGTATGTCTCTGTATCTCTGTGTCATGTGTATGTCTGTATGTTTACGTCTCTGTATCTGTGCATATGTCTTGGTGGTGTCTGTACGTGTGTGTACGTATGAGGGGGGCTGTTTTTGTGTTGCTATAAAGGAACACAGAGACTGGGTATCATAAAGAAAATAGGTGTAATTGGCTCACGGTTCTGCAGGCTGTACAGGAAGCATGGTGCCAGCATCTGCTCCTGGTGAGGCCTCAGGAAGCTTCCACACATGGTGGAAGGTGACGGGGAGCCAGCGTCACATAGCAAGAGTGGGAGGAGGGGAGGGCAAGGGGGGGGTCCCGGACTCTTTTAAACAACCTGCTCTTGAGTGAGCTAACTGAACAAGAACTCACTCATCACCAAGGTGATGGTGCTAAGCCATTCATGAGGGATCCGTCCTCATGATCCAACACCTCCCGCCAGGCCCCACTTCCAACACTGGGAATCACATTCCAACATGAGATTTGGAGGGGACAGAGAATCCAAACCACATCAGTGTGTGTGCGTGTCTGCGCATGTCTGTGTCCATCTGCATGTGCACGTCTCTGCACGTCTGCATGGATCTGTGTGTCTCTGTGCATGTGTGTCCATGTATTAGCATTTGGTCCAAGCCTTGCTTCCAGAGCCACAGCCACCACAACAGCACCAGCTGAGGGAAAGGGCTGCTCGAATGCCACTGCCTCCCTATGCTGACGGGGACCTTAACCACAGGGACAGCCCTGCGTCTCTCCAGCCAAGGCAGAGGACTGGCCGGTTGGTCTCAGAAGGCAGTGGGTGGGCAGGGTCCTCATTCTCTGGCAGAGATTTCTTGGGCCTGGACTATGGGTGCTAAGGCTGCCGGGGAGTGGGGGCCCAGGAGCTGGGGATGGGGCACTGCTGTGGGGTGGGCTGCAGAGCCCACCTGAGCCCCTCCAGGAGGGGAAGGGGTCTCTGCGGCCTGCAGCCCCCAGACATCACTGTATATGGCTGGAGCCTACAGGCTGGAGGGCCGGGATCCACACTGCTGGGCCCCTGCTGATCCCTCCAACCCAGGGCTTCTCCCAGGGACCAGCTCTCCCTGCCATCCCTGACGCTCAGGCACTTAACTATTTGACAAACCGATAATGAAACACGCAAGGACGGGGACCGCTGGAGGCTCGTGAGGGCCCAAGCACAGGATCCATTCCCAGATGCCAGTGTCACTCCCAAGTCACCTGCGTTTGTAAATCTCTATTTTGGGTGGAGCCCTCTGGAAGCCCACGCCCCACTGTCTGTGGCCACTCCTCGCAGTCCTCAATGGAGGTTTCTGTAAGTTCTTCACGAGTCTCCTGGCTCTTCCCTCAGAGCAGCTGCCTCTAGATTACAACTGCCAAGTGCTGTTGGTGGCAGAAGCCCTACCTCCCCACTCCGAAGCAGCTCCTGCAGGAAACCTGGGCCTTGTGTGGCTGGGGAACTCCCAGGACTCCTGCCACGCAGGGGGACCCGAGGGCAGCTTGGGCAGGCCCCTCGCGGCCGGGGGCGGATTCGCTCGGCTACACCTGACCGGAGAGACAGGTGAGGGACTGGTCTTTGTGGGTCCTGCGGGGTCCCCTTGGGGCTGTGGCTCCCTGCCTTGCTGTCTCCAGGCGGGAAGGGGGTGGGAGCCATCCTTCTGTGGGAAGGGGTCTAGGAGCCCCGCTGCTGTTCATCCCCACTTCCCCTCGGCTTCCTGGCCTGTCCTGCGTGTAAAGGGAGCAGGCTGCCCTGGCGAGCTGGCCCCATGGCTGGCTCCTCTCTGCCTGGAGGGAAGGAAGGGCCCCTCCTCCTCCGCGTTGCCCCTCCTGTCTTCCAGCAGGGCCAGGTTCTGCCCACCCGTGGAGAAGGCCAGTACAGGGGAGAGAGCCAGGGCTCCCACAAAGCAGGGGGTCCCTCCAGGTGAGGCGCTCCATCCTGTAGTGTTCCCTTAAATTCTGCAAGCTACCCCAGATCCCCCATTTCCAGCCAACAAATCCTTTTTAAGTTCCTTTGAGATTTGTTCGTGTGGCTTGCTACACTCAGGACTCTGGAAAGAAGGCCCAGGCCAGAGCTTTGGGCAGGCGGCCATTTAGGGCAAGGGCCCTGTGTTGGCTTCCTGGTGGGGTTGCCCTGCTGGTGGGCGGGAGACCAAGAGCACCCCCGCAACACCAGGAGGCAGGTCGCGGATTGTGCTGTCTACACTCCGGAAGGGGTACATTCCAGGGGCTGCTGCCCCAGACTCACCCCTCGCCTGGGACCCGCACTCTTGAGCTGTGGGTACCACGGTGGCCGTCCCCTTCTGTTCTGTGCAGTGGACTTCCTGGCTCCTCCTTAGCCTTGGGGCCCCCACAGCCCTCGGCTTGGCTTCCCTCCCCATAGCCAGGCCCTGGGTAACTCCAGGGGAAAGTGACCCTGAGGCCCCCCACTTCTCCCCGTGTCCTGCACAGGCCTTGGGCTTTCGGCGGTGCTGTCTGCCGCAGCCCCACGCCTTCCTGGGAGAGTGGCCCAGGCCCCCCTTCCTGAGTGTGACTGCGCTGCCGTCTGCGAGGCCTGCGCGGGTCTCCCCCGGGCTGTCCCTGCTGGGATGGGGACTGGTGGCCCCGGGCCACGTCCTGGATCCGGCTTGCTCCTTGGTACAAGCCCGTACGGGTCACGGTCAGGCAGGAGGGCGGGCGGCGGGGTCCCGGGGGCGCCGAGTTCGGGGCCGTGCGGTCCCCAAGAGCAGGCTGTGCGTGTCCCTGTTGGAGCCCCACGAAGGCGGCCCAGGGCCACCCCTGAGGGCGCGTGGGCCCGACCCGCGTCCCGGATCCAGCTTGCGGCCAGGAATGCAGGTGTTCCAGGGTGCCAAAAGGAAAACGCACAAGGCCTCGTCGAGGAGGGGGGGTCAGGAGGGGACCGGGGGTGGGAAGAACGCGGGGGAGAGGGATGGCAGGGTGCCCGCCCGAGGGACCGACACCTCCGCGAGTGGCACCCCAGGATGCTGACGCCGGCGGGGGTGGGGGCCCGAGGGGCGGTCGGGGTCAGGGGGCGGCCCCAGGGGTAGGGCCGCAGCACGAGGGGCCGCGTGACCCCGGCGGTGACCGGGTGGGGAGAGGCCGGCGCCGGGGCTGGGAGACGGCCGTGGGTGGGAGGGTGCCCCGTGGGGACGCTCCTGCCGCAGCGCCCGGCCACGCGCGAGGCCCCGCCCTCAGGACGCGTTCGGCGGGACGGACCCGCCCACCCCGCAGCCGCGCGCCCGCCGCGCCGCCTTGTGGGCGCTGTAGTCCCGGAGTCCGCGTGCGCGGGGCCGGGTCCGGGAGCCCCAGGGCAGCCGCCCCGCCGAGTCGCAGGTACCGGTGGGGAACGGGGCCACGGGGCCGCGTGTCGGGGGCTGCGGGGTGTCTCGGGGCCCTGGGGTGAGTGCGGGGCGCGGGCCGAGGTTTGCAGGGCCCTGTGAGGTGAGTGTGGGGGCTGGCGCTGGGGTCCGCGGGGCCCTGGGGAGGGTGCGGGGCGTGGGCCGGGGTCTGCGGTCTGCAGCCTGGGGTCCGCGGGGCCCTGGGGAGGGTGCGGGGCGTGGGCCGGGGTCTGCGGTCTGCAGCCTGGGGTCTGGGGGGCCCTGGGGAGGGTGCGGGGCGTGGCCGGGGTCTGCGGTCTGCAGCCTGGGGTCTGGGGGGCCCTGGGGAGGGTGCGGGGCGTGGGCCGGGGTCTCCGCGGGGGTCGCGGTGGCCCGGGCGCCTGGCAGAACCGTTGCTGTGCAGCGGGTTTCCCGCCGCTCGCTTTCCGCCGCAGCCTGCGAATGGGGTGGGGAGTCCCGGCCCCCAGCCTGCCCTCCGCGTCATCCTGGGGCGCCAAGTCCCACCCCCGGGTCTGGAGGAAAGCGTGGATCCGGCGTTCGCGCCCAGGCACGTGTTGCTTCGGGACGGGCCAGCCGGTGGGTGAACCCTGCCAGCCACGCGTGGGGCGGGCCCCTGGCACATCTCCAGACCATTGTCTCCTGTGCCAGAAGCTTTGTAGGTGCAACTTCCCCTTGGAGCAGCTGTGGGTGCGGATCCAGCGGAGCAATCCCGAGGCGTCTCAGAGAGAGCCTGGACAGCCGCTGGAGCCTTTCCCGAGTGGGTCCTTCCAACACCGCTACAGCAGGAAAGCCATCCCCCTAGGGTCCTGTCCATCGGAAACTCCTGTCCTGGGGAGTCTGGCCTGCCTGGCCTCAGGACACAGGCCAACTAAGCTGGCCCCGAAATCCAGAATGCATCCAGAGGGAAGGTGGGATAAAGTCCTTGGAGGCGCCTGTTGGCCGCCCTGTAAAGAGGTGGCCTCCCCCTACGGAGACCCGAGGATCCCCGCACAGCCCAGATTCAATCAGCAGAGCCGAGGTGCCTCTGGCCCAGTGCACCTGCCTGCCCTGTCCAGGCCTGGGAGCCAGGCTGCATCTCACTGGCCGCCTTTGCCTGGGTGCCACCTGTGCACTGCTTGTTGCAATTGCTAATTGCTTTCTTTCCGAAGGGGCTTTGGTGGATTTTTATAATTCCAGATAGTACAGTTATCTCTGCTGGACACAGATGAGAAAGAGTGCTTCTCGGGTGTTTGGGCCTGCAGCAGTGATAGCCGGAGGGTCTAATTATGCTGTTAGGAACCCTGAACTTGGTCATCTGAACAGGGGTGGGAGGGTGTGCAATGCTTTCTTCTTCTTCTTTTTAAACTAGCAGGCGTTCTAAAAAACATAACGAACATTCTTGGTTAGCCTTCCAGAGTAGGAGCTGGTTTAAACACGGAATGATAGGTGGCGTTTGCTTGTGTTTTGATTGCGGGTCTCTGGCCTTCTCTGGTGCTTGGAAGGACAGGGCCTGGGTGGGGCTGGTCACTGTGGACAGTGGGGCCGGGGATTTGCAGGGGCTGTTACAACCTTCTCCTGAAGGCAGGGATTCTCTCTGCTTCCCCGTGGCCCTCCTGTCTGGTCGGGGACTTCCTTCAGATGCCGGGAAGAGGCCTCAAGCTGTATGGGACTGGGCTGGGGTCTGGACACTTGGAGTCTAGGCGTCCCCTGGCTTGGGGCTGCGTTTCTATGATGGTGACCAAGTTCCCTATCTTTCCTCTTGGAGGTGGTCTGGGCCGTGATGGCCAAGCCTCTGTCAGTGGGCTACGTTCACGGCACATAAGTTGAGTATGCTGGCAGCAGAGGCTGACTGTTAAGACCAGCAGCAGCCCCTTGCTGGCGGAGACTCTGGCTGTCTCTCCAAGGAAGGAATGTTCTGGTCGCTTCTGGAGGTGGCACCTTTCAGAACAGGGGGCCCAAGTACCCAGGGCTCCCGGGCCCCTGGGGGTCCTGTGGGTGGGGATCTGACTCCTGCGGCCATGGACTGTGGGCGCAGACCCTGGGCTTAGTTCAGCTCCTGATGGCTCCCCGTTGTCTGCGGCGATCTGGTTGCTCTGGTTGTCTGGGGATCGGTGCGCCTGTCTAAACCTGCTGACAGGTGGGAAAGTGAACTTGACAGGGAGTCCCAGGGCCAAATGGGTCTCCCAGTGGGGAGGAGTGGGTGCGGTCTGAGGTATGTCCAGCTCTACCCGTGGCCTCTCTGGGCATCAGGGTCCCTGGTGATGGAGCCCAACCTTTGTGCACTGATCTTCCCAGCTGTTGACAGGCCCTGAGGAGGCATGGAAGGTGAGGCCGAGGCAGGCGACCGTCAGATCTGCCTCGGCCTGGCAGTGGCCCCTGCCTGCGCTTCCTCCTGCCTGGCCGGCTGTTTTCATCCTGGCCCTTTGAGAACTTCTAGGGTCCTGGCTGCCTCCAATGGAGGGTGCTGGTCCCATCTTCTTCCCAGCTGTGCCCTGCCGTGGAGCTCCGGAAACCTCGAGGTTCCCCTAACCCTTCCCCCTCTTCCCTGCGGCCCCCATTGCAAGCCCACCAGCCTCTGCCTCTTAAGGGCTTCCCTGCCATCACCTATGTTCCTTTGTCACAGACATGAGTGTGTAGAGGTGTCAAGACGGGACCCCAGATGATGCTGATGGCTTTGCCTAAGTGGCCTGGGGAGGGTCTCTCTCTCTGGTCCCTGAAGGCCACCTTTTTCCTAAGCCTGTGTGTCAGGTTGGGGGCGGTTCAGGGAGCACTTCCAGCCTGAGTGGTCTCTGATACGTGAAGACTGAATGCTGAGAGCCTGGGGCAGATTTTCCTAGGGGTCCCTGGACCCCCAAAGCTGGCCCCACATCGAGGGATGCTCTGAGCCCCTGCTGGAGGGTTGGAGGAGACTTCTCAAATCCAGACCCTCTGCAGACCCCCTGCCACCCTCCCAAGCCGGCCCTGTGGCGAGGCACAATTGTCCAACTGTCAGCCCAGTGCAGATGGGACGGCGACCCCGCCCCACAAGGCTGCTCAGCTGCCCTCTGCATGCGCTGCATCCCCACCCCACCTGAGCAGCAGATGGCCTTTCCACGTGCACTCTGCCAGGCCTGGCCTCCGGGAGCAGAGGTCAGCTGATACAGACGTGAGGTGCACCTGTGGGGGACCAGGGCCAGGTCCTGGCCTCACGGGGTTGGCTTGGTGTGGGCGTCTGACACACTTGTTTATGGCAGTTCACTTTTGACTTACTTGAAGGAGAACTTTACACCGAGGCCTTAATGGAAAACCAGGGCCACGTGGCACCTGGAGACATGATTCTGATAAGTGGACAGGCTTTTGCCCCGCAGCTGAAAGGCACGATTTGTGGTGGTGAGACGTGCCCTTGCCCGCACCGGAGGAGCCTTTCTCCTGGGCAGAATCAGGACTGAAAGAGACACGCCCTCGAGTGTGCTTCGTGCTGCTGCTGCTCCACCACGTGCCCTGGCCGTGTGGGGCGGGGGTGCTGGCGGGATGGTCCCCAAGGTTGGGTGCATGTTGCCTCGTGGATGAAGTCCTGTGGTCTGGGGTGCTCCATCTGGAACGTGTCAGGTCCACTCATGGCTCCTGCCAGCTGCTTTCGTCTAGGGTAACCTGCCGCCGGGGATGCTGGGGTCCCTGGGCTCAGGGGCTGGGCCTCGGCTCCATCCCATCCTCCCTCCCACGCGTGTTTCAACCCTGGCTGCTCTCAGCCCCCTCAAGGACACCTGCTTTTCCCTCTGCCCTTCCCTCACTGTGGGCTTGGCCTGCACGCCCTCCTGCCAGGGCACGCGGCTGATGGGGACCTGAGGCTGGTACCTGCAGCCACCCGCCGCTGGCCACCTGTGGTGTGACCCCGGCCTCCAGCAGCGTCCGTTCCTGCCTGTGCCCTCCCTGGGCCACCTGGGTGCCGCTAGAGCAGCAGCAGGCACGTGGGCTGCCCTCAGGCCTGTGGGGTGAGGTGTGCCCCCTGACCGCCACAGGTACTGCCCAGCAGTGCCATGAGTCTAGTGTGGCCCCAAACCCTAAATTTTGTTAGTTTAGTTAATAAAGTAAGTCAATTAGTTAATTAACTTGGTTTTGATTGGCACTTAAATCACTCCATGTGGCTGGAGACTTCCCTCAGCCTCGGAGACCCTGGAGGTGGTGACAGCCTGGCCTGGGGGACTCCGGAGCAGCTCAGGTGTGGGTGGCTCCCAGTTTGGTGCTACGGGGTGAGGATGGGTCTGGGGTCTGCATTCGTCTCCAGGGTGGCGTTTGGTCCTGAGTGGCGAGGAGGCCGGCACTGGGCCTCGTTTTGCGGGGTAGGGAGGCCTGCAGACCATCTTCCAAGGTGCCCTGACTCCACCCCTCCTTCCAGGCACAGCGTCACCTTCGTCCCCTCCGGAGCTGCACGTGGCCTGAGCAGGATGGTGCCCTCCAGCCCAGCGGTGGAGAAGCAGGTGCCCGTGGAACCTGGGCCTGACCCCGAGCTCCGGTCCTGGCGGCACCTCGTGTGCTACCTTTGCTTCTACGGCTTCATGGCGCAGATACGGCCAGGGGAGAGCTTCATCACCCCCTACCTCCTGGGGCCCGACAAGAACTTCACGCGGGAGCAGGCATGTGGGTGCCGGGGTGCCGGGCGGCCGCCTGTGGGTGGGTGGGCGGGGAGCAGCGTCTGGAATAGGCACGTGGGCGCCGGGATGCGGGGGCGGCCGCCAGTGGGTGGGCAGGGAGCAGCTTCTGGAATAGGCACGTGGGCGCTGGGTGCCAGGGCGGCTGCCTGTGGGTGGGCGGGGAGCAGCTTCTGGAATAGGCACGTGGGTGCCGGGGTGCCGGGCGGCCGCCTGTGGGTGGGCGGGGAGCAGCTTCTGGAATAGGCATGTGGGCACCGGGGTGCTGGGCGGCCGCCTGTGGGTGGGCGGGGAGCAGCTTCTGGAATAGGCACGTGGGTGCTGGGTGCCAGGGCGGCCGCCTATGGGTGGGCGGGGAGCAGCTTCAGGGGCCAGGGCGCTTTTCCTGTTGGATGTGTGAGCACTTGAGGCTGGAGCGGGTGAGTGGCCGTGTCAGCTGATAATATGGTCCTGGAGGGAACCCGGCTGGGGTCTCACACTCCCAGCAGCGGGCACCATCAGATGGAGGGGCCTGGCTTCGGCCTAGTAACCAGGCTAGATAAAAAGTGATATTGTGTCCTGCAGAGAGAGAGCCTGCCCCACCCCACCCGCCAGGCCGTGCTCATCGGCCCTCCTGGTGAGGAAGCCCACGTCCAACCCTGCTGGGCACCTGCCTTCCACAGAGACTTAGTGGCTATTTACCTAAAGAGATTATTGAAGGAATTTTCATTTTACTCAGCCATGAGGACAAAGGGTCTTATTGAAACTGTTCTAATAGGCTTATGCCCAGTCACGGGTCTCTCAGGTCACATGAGCGGTGGAGGCGGGAGCGGCCGTATCCGAAGCAGTTTCCTCCTGGAGCTGTGGGGTCCTTGTCCATAAGGCACATCTGCACAGGAAGAGCCTGGAAAAGCGCTCTCACAGGCTGCCGGCCCAGCTGGTCACCCCGACACCCCATCCCAGGGCCCTGGGCCTGCTCACCTGCCCATCCCAGCCGCTGACCCCGTCCTCTGCTCCCACATGGCTGACGCTCGGCATGCCTCTTGTTCCCTGTGTCTCCTGGCCGGAAGCCGGACCCCAACCCTCCCAGACCCTAGAATTGTGAAACTGATGTGCAGCTGAGGAGTGTGCTATTGGGACAGTGGAGGTGCTGCCCTTCCCGCGTGCCCAGCTCAGAGCACCGTGCGGTGTGATTGTGTCTCGTCCCACGGCCAGCACTGCTAACCGCCAGGCTGGGTCACTTTCTAGGCGAGGACAGGGTCTTGCCCTGGCTCCGGCTGTCGGTGGCGGGGCTGGGGCTGGAGCGGCGGAGCCATCTCCTTGACCCCTCATGAAATGCCTTCTGCTCCTGGCCAGTCCGTCCCTCTCCCTGCCACCCACTGACCAGATGGCATCTCTGCTCTTAGTGGAGGGCCACTGTCCACCGCCAAGGTTATTTATAGGGGTGAGCATTATGTGTGGCGTTTCCCTTAAAATAACAAAATAAGAAAAGTCTCTAGAGCAAAAATGTTTAAATCCCATCTGCCTGCCCTCTCATGTTGTACATTAACGGATTAAAAAGTAGATTCCAGAAATTAAGCCATTCCACCAGGCCTTGGATATCATCAGAGGGACGATGGGTGCAGGTGCTCTGCGCACCTGCCACTTGGTGGGGCCCCCGATCTCAGCCCCTCTGGCTGCAGGAGAGGCCCGGGGAGAGCTTCATCACGCCCTCCCTCCTGGGGCCCGACAAGAACTTCACGCGGGAGCAGGCACGTGGGCGCCGGGGTGCAGGGGCAGCCACCAGTAGGTGGGCGGGGAGCAGCTTCGGGGGCAAGGGAGGCCCAGCCTGCCAGGACTCGCCAGCCCCTGTTGTTGCCAGGCTTGTGTCTAGGAAGTTCACGTAAGTGGTGTCTTGTGACCCAGCTTTCGCAAGTTGCTCTCCTGCCCAATCTGACTTGAGAGACGTTCCACGTGGGTTCGAGGCTGTTCTTAAGCTGCGCCTCCTGGGTTGAACTACAAGGTGCTTATCTGCTGCTTTGCTGGAGGTGATTAGGGGATTCCGGCTTCTCCCACTGCAGGTGATGGCTGCAGGTAGAGCACGAGCTGGCAGCCTCAGGCAGTGGGCCTTGACCCAGCTGGCCCGGGCTGGCACTTCCAGTTCACTCCTGGGGCGAATGCTGCTTCCTCTGCAGCCTGCCACGGGCTGCCCACGTTCCCCTCACCAGCTCGGGTGGGCTGCTGAGCGCCGGCCGTCTGGCCGCTGTGAGGAGCGTGGTTTCCTTTGCTCACATTTGCTCTGCCGCCATTTCTCCCGCCGTGGGCCAGTGTTTCCTGGCAGCCCTGTGGTTGCTGTCCTCCTCGGACCTGGTTCCCTTTTCTGCCTCCTGGGGACCCCGTGCCCTTGGGATTGGACTGGTTGTGTGTTACATACGGTGTTTCTCTGGAGTCATTTTGAATTTGGCCAAATTTCCCTCCAGGGTTTCTGCTTTGAGTGTCAGCTGAGAGCGCTTTCCCCGGCCGAGTCCGTGAGGTGCTCCTGGGTGCACTGAGGTTGCCTGGGCCCCCGCTGGAACTGTGCTGTGTGGTGGGAGCTGCAGCCCCCGCCCTCCTCCAGGGAGACCCCCCGGCCCAGGACCCTGTGCACAGCAGTCCCTCCTGACCTGCGGCCCATGCCCCGTCCCCAGCCAGCCCCTGTTGGGTGCCCTTCTGTGGCATCCAGTCCTGCTGCCCCACGCCTGGCCCTGCCCTCGCGTCCTGCCTGCCTTCGGGCCTTGCCCACCTTCCCGCCTCCCTGTTCAGAGAAGCCGCCCTGAGGCCGTCTGGACGTAGATTTGGGCGCAGCTGCCTGCACTCTGCCCATTCAGCCTGGACCCCAACCAAGACCTGTGGAGAGCAGGGCCGACGCTGGGCTCAGGCAGCAGGAGGCTGTCCTCGTGTCAGAGTCGTGGCCGCCTGACAGATGCCACCTCCCTGCTGGGACCGTTGTGAGGGCCCCTCCCCCAGCAGCCTTGTAAGTGGGACGCAGGTCACAGCTCTGGGCAGAGCCTCCCTGCTGTCTGCCTGCCAAGGCTGAGGAAGAGGGAGTAGGGGCCGTTGAGGAGGTGCAGGGAGAGGAGCGGGAGGGCTCTGGGTGGCTGCCAAGGGGGAGCTCTGCGCTCAGACCCTCAACTAAGACCAGGAGGTGCCTGATGAGGCCCCAGCCTGCAGAGCCAGCTCCTGGTGGAAGAGGAAATGAGGCATGCTCCATTCATTCGGAGGTGGGTGAGGCTTCTAGGACCCCTGGCCGCCCTTTTCCAGAGAGCCGTGGGGTCTGGGGAGAGCCTCTCTGCTGGCTGTCTACCATTTTGACTCTGGGCTGTGGGCAGAACCTGTGCCCCGGCCAGGGGCTGGGGCTGTCATGCCCCCACGCAGCCTCCTGTGTCTGGGGGTCGGGGGTCCCTGAGGTCCTAGGAGGACCCCTGCCTCTGAGCCGCTTCTTTCGGAATCTGCAGGGGTTCCCTGGGCTGGCCCTGAGGAGGAGCCTCCCCCAGTCGAGCAGGCCATCAGCCAGGAGAGCTTGCCCACAGAGGGGCTGTTTGATGTCCCCAGGACATTGCTGTAAACACAGTGCAGAAGCCGATGGCTGGCCCTGAGGCTCTCTGTGACCCGGCGGGCTCACTCAGCCTCCTGGCACATAACCTGCCCTCAGAGTGTCCCGGAATGTCCTGAGCAGGACGGAGTGCCGGAGGGACCTTGGGTGCCTGGTGCTGCTGGGACCACAGCCTTTGGGTCAGCCTGGCCTCCATGAGGGTGCAGGCTCCAGGGTGCGACCTCAGGGTGCCCTGAGGTGGGGTCTCTGGGCAGCCTTCCCCTGAGCCCCTGGGAAGCTTCTCAGCATGCCGGCCTGGCTGCAGGGTCCTATTGCCCAGCTGTTCACAGTAGCCGGTGGCCGGGCTCTGAGCACATCGGGCCACACATCTTGGGTGTGCCAGACACGAGGCTGAGAGCCCCCGGGGAGGCGGCGTGGCTCGGCGCAGCACCCCACGTGCTGACCCAGGGTTTGGTCCTGCCAAGTGTGGCTGGCAGGGGCTGAGGTCACCTGGGGCAGCACGAGTGGGGCTGTGGGGTTACTGGTGGTCAGGCCTGAGTCGGGTGGGGCCTGCTGGAGGCCCAGAGTCCAGCAGGGCCCTGCTGGCTCATCTGGTACCAACCTCCAGTGGATCTGAGGTGGGGTCTGGTGGGGCCTGTGGGCGGGGCCACCTGCTGAAAATGCACCTGGGCCCCAGGGGAGGCTCCAAGCATAGGGTGGCTCCCACATCAGTCCCCAGGGAGGGGCAAGGCAAGCGGCTTGGCCTCACAGGGGTGGGGCCTCTTCCTCTGGACTGTGCCCAGGTGTGCCCAGGTGTGCCCACAGCAGCCCTGGCCCCTGCCAAGACAGCTGAGGACGTTTGGTGCCTGCCTGTAGTAGTCTGGGGCAGTGTCCTCTGACCTTGTCCTGTAGGAGGTAGCACCCCCAGCCCCGTGCCCAGCTCCACGTTCCCATGGAAGGTGGATGTGTGTTGAGGCCACAGGCATGGAAGCCAGGCCTGGAGTGTCCACCAGCAGCTCAGTGGCCAAGGCTGTGGAGCTGGGTTCCCACATAACATGTGATGGAGGAGGTGGGGGTGGGCAGGCTGACAGCCTGTGCTCCCCCTCCTGGGAGGGTGCAGGGCGGCTACAGGGGCGTTTGCCCCCCTCCCTGCTCCTGGGTTGGAGTCTGGCCTTAAAGACCTTGCTCTGGGGACAAGTGTGAGATGGGAGTGCACAGCCCAGGGCCCTCTGCCCTACCCCACTTCCTCTCTTTCCCCTTCTTCCCCTTCCTGTCTTTCTTCCCCTGCCGGGTTCCCCCACGAACAGTCCCTCCCACGAACCTGCTGTCCCTGATCCTGCCCTTCCTTTCTGTGTCTTCTGTTTTTGTCTCTCTCCAGGAAGGATGGAAGAAGCTTGTGCTGGTGTGAATGTGTATGGGTTACAGCTGTGTTTTCCATATTGTTTAAAATGAAATAAAACCATGTTTTGATTCTATTAAAAATAGAGAAGCTGGCTGGGTGTGGTGGCTGGTGCCTGTAATCCTAGCACTTTGGGAGGCTAAGGTGGGCAGATCACCTGAGGTCAGGAGTTCGAGACCAGCCTGCCCAACATGGTGAAACCCCCATCTCTACTAAAAATACAAAAATTAGCCAGACATGGTGGTACGCACCTGTAATCTCAGCTACTCGGGAGGCTGAGGCAGGAGAACTGCTTGAACCTGGGAGGTGGAGGTTGCAATGAGCTAAGATCGTGCCACTGCACTCCAGCCTGGGCGACAGAGCAAGACTCTGTCCCAAGAAAGAGATAAAAATAGAGAAGCTTAGATGAACAGGCTTGTTAATAACGATTCCTTCTGTGGCCACTGCCAGCTTTCCGCAGGCGAACGCTCCCAGGCTGCCGGGACGGTCGGGAGCCAGAGGTCCCTGTTCAGAGAGGACGATGCAGTGGGACATGGGACAGGGGCGTGTTGGGGAGAGGGGTCCCACCAGGCAGTGTTGGGGCAGGAAGCCGTCAGCAGCCATCACCTCGGGCGGGCTGTGTCTGCCGCAGCGGCAGCATTGCTAACACCTGGTGGGGCGCACGCCCGCCTGTCCGCAGGTCACGAACGAGATCACGCCGGTGCTGTCGTACTCCTACCTGGCCGTGCTGGTGCCCGTGTTCCTGCTCACCGACTACCTGCGCTACACGCCGGTGCTGCTGCTGCAGGGGCTCAGCTTCGTGTCGGTGTGGCTGCTGCTGCTGCTGGGCCACTCGGTGGCGCACATGCAGCTCATGGAGCTCTTCTACAGCGTCACCATGGCCGCGCGCATCGCCTATTCCTCCTACATCTTCTCTCTCGTGCGGCCCGCGCGCTACCAGCGTGTGGCCGGCTACTCGCGCGCTGCGGTGCTGCTGGGCGTGTTCACCAGCTCCGTGCTGGGCCAGCTGCTGGTCACTGTGGGCCGAGTCTCCTTCTCCACGCTCAACTACATCTCGCTGGCCTTCCTCACCTTCAGCGTGGTCCTCGCCCTCTTCCTGAAGCGCCCCAAGCGCAGCCTCTTCTTCAACCGCGACGACCGGGGGCGGTGCGAAACCTCGGCTTCGGAGCTGGAGCGCATGAATCCTGGCCCAGGCGGGAAGCTGGGACACGCCCTGCGGGTGGCCTGTGGGGACTCAGTGCTGGCGCGGATGCTGCGGGAGCTGGGGGACAGCCTGCGGCGGCCGCAGCTGCGCCTGTGGTCCCTCTGGTGGGTCTTCAACTCGGCCGGCTACTACCTGGTGGTCTACTACGTGCACATCCTGTGGAACGAGGTGGACCCCACCACCAACAGTGCGCGGGTCTACAACGGCGCGGCAGATGCTGCCTCCACGCTGCTGGGTACGCATGCCCTGGTCCCCGAGGCTTCTTCCCGCAGAGGCTTCCCGTCCACCTCCGCCTGCCCCGTGGATCCTTCCCCCGGAGGCTCCCTCTCCCGCCCCCTGCCCCATGGATACCTTCCCCCAGAGGCTCTCCGCCACCTCCCCCTGCCCCGTGGATCCTTCCCCCGGAGGCTCCCCCTCCCCGCCCCCTGCCCCGTGGATCCTTCCCCCGGAGGCTCCCCCTCCCCGCCCCCTGCCCCGTGGATCCTTCCCCCGGAGGCTCCCTGCCACCTCCCCCTGCCCCGTGGATCCTTCCCCGGAGGCTCCCCGTCCCCGCCCCCTGCCCCGTGGATACCTTTCCTCAGAAGCTCCCGCTACCTCCCCCTGCCCCGTGGCCCCCCAGGGCCGCTGCAACGCCCCATCCCTCCCCTCTCAGGCGCCATCACGTCCTTCGCCGCGGGCTTCGTGAAGATCCGCTGGGCGCGCTGGTCCAAGCTGCTCATCGCGGGCGTCACGGCCACGCAGGCGGGGCTGGTCTTCCTTCTGGCGCACACGCGCCACCCGAGCAGCATCTGGCTGTGCTATGCGGCCTTCGTGCTGTTCCGCGGCTCCTACCAGTTCCTCGTGCCCATCGCCACGTGAGTTCCAGAAGGGTGGGAAGCCGGGGGCGGGCAGGCGCCAGGATCAAGCCCCGCGCTTCGCTGGGTGCTCCCACCTTCCTGCTGCGCCCCAGCGGCTGTGCCACTGCTGGCCCCGCCAGCCACCTGGAGCTGACCAGGGTCCCCACTTGCCTCTCCCTGGGACCTCGGGCGTCCCTTCCTGTGCCGTCTTGCTGCTCCCCCAGGCCCTCCACGCTCCTCTCTGAAGCCTGCTGGGCTCACAGCCTTGCCCTGCTCCCAACCCCACCCTCTAGGCCCCGGGCTGCTGAGACCCCATCCAGGCAGGAGCGGGAGCTTGCACCTGTGTGAGTTCATCCTCAGCTTACACTCACACCAGGCACTCACACCACACACACACCACACGCTCACACATGGACACACACACACTCATGAACACACCACATGCGCACAGATGGACACTCACCACACACTCATGAACACATACCACACGTGCACACATGGACAAACACACCACACTCACACATGGATATATCGCACATGAACACACCACACACACGGACACACACCATGTTCACACATGGATATATCACACATGGACACCCACTACACATGGACGCACCACACACACACGGACACACAATGCACACTCACATGAACACACCACACGCTCACAGATGGATACACCACACAGACACACCACACACGAACACACACCACATGCTCACAGATGGACACCCACTACACTCACATGAATGCATCACATACTTACACATGGACACACACCACACACACGGACACCCACCACACTCACATGAACACACTACATGCTTACCCATGGACACACACTACACACGGACACACACACACTCACAGGGACACACCACATGTTCACAGACACCCACCACACTCACATGAATGCACCATATGCTTACACATGGACACACACCACACAGACACACCACACACTCACATGGACACACCACACACTCACAGATGGATACACCACACTCACATGAACACACCACATGCTTACACATGGACACAGCACACATGGACATGCTACACGCTCAGATGGACACACACCACACGGACACACAACACATGCTCACACATGGACACACACCACACGTTCACACATGGACACACCACACGTTTACACATGGACACGTTCACACATGGACACACGCTCACACATGGAGACACCCACACATTGACACACTCCCACCACATACT
Organism: Homo sapiens; assembly: GCF_000001405.40. Classification (NCBI taxonomy): domain Eukaryota; kingdom Metazoa; phylum Chordata; class Mammalia; order Primates; family Hominidae; genus Homo; species Homo sapiens. Next base: position 45,529,554 of record NC_000021.9, on the reverse strand, counting down.
CAGACCACACACACTGACACACTCAGACACTGACCCTGTGTGCTCACAGGGTCCTGCTCCCTGGACCTGCCCCCTCTTTCCTGCCCGCTGGGAGGACTTTGGCCCCAGCTCAGTACCCCTTCCTGGGCTTCCCCTCCAGGGTGGCCTCCGAGCCCTATCTCCCTCCCTCCGTGGGTCATCCCCCTGGGCCTTATGCTGGTCACGAGCCTGTTTGAGCTGAGAGCACCCTCCTGACCCTTGCATTGGGCCCTCTGTGTCAGTGGCCTCACCCCTGCAGCATCCTGCCTGGATGTGCCCGGCCCTGTACTTCCCCATCCTCCCCACATGCAGGCAGCAGTCTCCCGGCATGGGCAGCCCGGCCCACCCTTCTCTCCCGCCCCTGCCATACTCGGGGCCCCTTCTGCTCCTGTGTGGCCGCCTTCTCCAGGCTCCCCGAGGCCCACACTGGGCTCTTGCCGTCCCTGGCTCGTGAAGGCCCAGCGTGATCTTGCTTGGGCCCCCCCACTGACCTGCCAGCACTGTGGAAAGGGCCAGGGCCTCTGCCATTGTGCTGTCCCATTGCTGCAGCCAGGGGGACAACGCCTGAAAGGTTTTAGTTATAAAGTCATTGATGCCCATCGCAAAAAAATCCAACACGGTGCCGCAGCGTGCAAAGCAGAAAACTGCTGTTTGCTACGGGGAATCCCAGCATTTTCTGCTTGTCTGTGTTGGGTTGATGCCAGACACAGATGCAGATGGTCACTCACAGATGCAGGTGGTCACTCCCGGTCATGAGTGGTGGGCCTTACAACCCATCCCCAGTCTATGGGTAAAGTCACCATTTCCATTTTTCTTACACGAGGAAAACACTGAGATGAATGCCCTTCTACCTACATTTTTGTTTCCAAATTCTAATAATGACCCTCAGGTGGATTCCTGGAAGGGGAATGGCCAGGTTGGAGAGTATGTGCTTTTGAAAGCAGGTTTCTGTCAATATTGCAGGTACCCTGCAGGCCGGCATGCGGGCTTCCTCCCCGTCAGGATGGTGGAGTGGCCTCCCCACCCTCCCTGAGCCCCTGACGGGCCGGCTGGGCTCCCAGCCTTTCCTTAACCAGAGTGAGGCCGGCCGGCCTGCTGTGGACTGAGTGGCCCCTGTGTGTCTCCTGACTCTGTTGGGACTCGCTTTCCTCCCTGCTGATCTGGGGAGCATTCATCTGTATCATGTATTTTCAATCACCTGTGCCCCCATCACGCCCCACACTCGTCTGCCTTTAATTCAACTCACAGTGTTTCTGAGTGTCCTTGGAAGCACCCTGGGGGCTGGCCTGGGCTCTGCCCTGCCCAGCGCTGGCATCCAGAAGCTCGTGTTTGTGCTCAGTTCTCCCTGTTGTTCGTCTGCCCTTCATCCCACTGACCTGCTCACCGGGACCTCTGTGTGCTTCTCTCGTCCTCCCTGCTGCCGGCCTGCCTGCCTGCCCCCGAGCCTCCACTGTCCCCACTGTCCCCCCGTCTCCAGTGCCCAGCAGCACAGACACCTCTGCCCTTCTCCAAAGGGTTCCTGGGCATTTTTGTTTATTTTTTCTTCAGGTGAACTTTAGGACATTTTTTGTCCAGTTCTTTTTTTTTTTTTTTTTTAAGCACTTTGCAGATTTTAATTGGAACTGCATCGGAAGACTAGTTTCTTTGCAGAGCACCAGAAGCCTGGCGTGTCACCTCTCCATGTCAGGAATGTGGTGCCTTCATTCCTGGACATGTTCATGCCACCGCTCACCTCCAGGGCCCGCCCTGCCTGGCTGCCACTCACCTCCAGGGCCCACCCTGCCCTGCTGCCACTCACCTCCAGGGCCCGCAGTAACTGACTGCCACTCACCTCCAGGGCCCGCCCTGCCTGGCTGCCACTCACCTCCAGGGCCCGCAGTAACTGACTGCCACTCACCTCCAGGGCCCGCCCTGCCTGGCTGCCACTCACCTCCAGGGCCCACCCTGCCCTGCTGCCACTCACCTCCAGGGCCTGCAGTAACTGGCTGCCACTCACCTCCAGGGCCCGCCCTGCCCGGCTGCCACTCACCTCCAGGGCCCGCAGTAACTGACTGCCACTCACCTCCAGGGCCCGCCCTGCCTGGCTGCCACTCACCTCCAGGGCCCACCCTGCCCGCTGCCACTCACCTCCAGGGCCCGTCCTAACCTGCTGCCACTCACCTCCAGGGCCTGCCCTGCCTGGCTGCCTCTCACCTCCTGGGCCCACCCTGCCCGCTGCCACTCACCTCCAGGGCCTGCCCGGGCATACCCAGCTGCTATTCACCTCCAGGGCCTGCCCCGCCTCCAGGCCCCCCTCCCCCCCAATTGCCACTCACCTCCAGGGCCCTCCCGGGCATACCCAGCTGCTACTCACCTCCAGGGCCCGCTCTGCCCAGCTGCCACTCAACTCCAGGGCCTGCCCTGCCTGGCTGCTGCTCATTCACCGACTCTGTGGTTTCACTGCTCTTCTAATTTATCAAACATTTAACCGTGAAAGACTTTCATTCTAGACTTTTCTGTCTGTGCCCAGAGGTTCTCTTGATGATGATTTTCTGAATGTTTTGAGACGCCCGTGACCTGGTCTGTCCCAGAGCTCATGGGAGCCCTTCCAGGTATCTTCTCGAGTTTGTGTTTTGTGACACCCATTGTATAGGTTCAGCATCCCTAATCAAAACAGCCAGAATTCAGCTGGGCGCAGTGGCTCACACCTGTGATCCCAGCACTTTGGGAGGCTGAGGTGGGTGGATCACCTGAGGCCAGGAGCTCGAGACCAGCCTGGCCAACATGGTGAAACTCTGTCTCTACTAAAAATACAAAAATTAGCTGGGCATGATGGCGCGTGCCTGTAATCCCAGCTACTCGAAAGGCTGAGACAGGAGAATTGCTTGAACCCAGGAGGCAGAGGTTGCAGTGAGCTGAGATTGTGCCATTGCACGCCTGGGCAACAGAGCGAGACTCCATCTAAAAAAAAATAACAAAAAATCCAGAATTTGAAATACTCCAAAATCTGACAGTTTTTGAGCACCGGAAAGACAACCCGGTGGAAAATCCTGTACCTGACCTTGTTTGACGAGTCTCAGAACACGGTCAAAAGTTTCTTCATGCACAAAATTACTCCAGAACTCAGGGTGAGGCCCTGGGCAGTAGCAGGCAACCCCTTTGGCTTGCAAATGTTTGTCAGGTATTATATAAAATCACCTTCTGGCTGTGTGTGTACAGTGCATATGAGCATAAATGCATTTCGTGTTTAGACTTGGGTTCCATCCTCAAGACATCTCATTATGGACATGTGAATATTCCCAAATCCAAAACTACTGGCCCCAGGCATTTTGGATAAGGGACCCTCACTCTGTACTGAGCCAGGGGGACACGGCAGCTCCCAGAATGGCCCCTCGAGGGTGGCCTGGGTGCTGGCTCCTGCCTGGCAGGGGCGGGCATGTGTGGGAGAGATGGGGGCCTGGTGGGGGGCTTGTGCGTGCCCTGGGACCCCGTGGCTGCCGGGCGGGTCATGGGCTGGTGGGAGCCGGGCTGCAGGCTTTTCCCTGTGGCTGCTGCTTATTCTCCCAGCAGCGCCTGATCTGCCCGCTCTTCCCGTTCAGCTTTCAGATTGCATCTTCTCTGTCTAAAGAGCTCTGTGCCCTGGTCTTCGGGGTCAACACGTTCTTTGCCACCATCGTCAAGACCATCATCACTTTCATTGTCTCGGACGTGCGGGGCCTGGGCCTCCCGGTCCGCAAGCAGGTGAGCCCATTTCAGGCCTGCGTCCTCGGGGATGGAAGCTACTTGTGGGGACATTGTTGAGGCCTCCTGGTGCCCGCCTGATGTGGAGCCCACTGTGGGCTGGGGGCACAGGGTGCGGGCCTGGGGCTTCCAGTGGGACACACCAGGCCAGCGAGAGCAGGAAGTGAGAGAGACCCTAGCGGGGCTCAGTTGTTGTGGGCGGGAGCCTCCGTCAGGCCCTGGGCCTCAGTGGGAGCAGCTGAGCCTCTGCTCGCCACGGCGGAGCTGTCCTTGTCTCCGCTCTCTGCCTGTGGCTGCCGGAACTTGGTGTCCTTGAGCCCTGGCTGGAGGCCACGTGACCTTTGTCCTCTTCAGGAAGGAGAGCTGAGCAGAGCCACTCAGCAGTGTCAGTGCGCAGGCCTCTGCGGGTGCCCTCCCCTTTCCCACCTCTCGCGGGCCTCTGCTGCTTCTGAGAAGAGCTGGAAAACACACATTTAACTCCTGAGGGTCCCAGCCAAGGCCGGGTCTCCGAGTGAGCTGGAATCAGCCATGGTGGGCGTGGTGTGAGAGGTCCTTCCAGGCTCCTCAGGACTGCCCCAGCCTGCAGCTAGACAGATGCCCTTGGCGGGTGGGACAAGGGCTTTGTCCACCTGGGGCCCAGGTCTCACTGGGCAGGAGGACTGTCAGGGTTAGTCCTGATCCTCTGAGGGTGCGGAGTCTGTTCAGCTTCAGTGACTCCAGAGCTCAGGGTAAGGCCCGGGCAATAGCAGGCATCCCCTTCGGCTCACAAATGCCTGTTAGGTGAGGATGGCTGTTGCTCACTCATCGAAATGCATTCTTCAGCCCAAGAGTGTCATTAGGGCCTGTCCACGCTGGCAGGCCACGTGGCCCTGTGCCACAGAGCCCTCTGGGTACAACACCCCCGACCCAGGTGTGAACACTCAGGGCGGGTGAGTCTCCAAGGCCCAGGGGTGAACGCTTAGGGTGGGTGAGCCTCCGAGGCCCAGGTGTGAACACTCAGGGCAGGTGAGCCTCCAAGGCCCAGGCGTGAACACTCAGGGTGATGAGCCTCCAAGGCCCAGGGGTGAACGCTTAGGGCAGGTGAGTCTCCGAGGCCCAGGGGTGAACACTCAGGGCGGGTGAGCCTCCGAAGCCCAGGGGTGAACGTTCAGGGCAGGTGAGTCTCCGAGGCCCGGGGGTGAACGCTCAGGACAGGTGAGCCTCCAAGGCCCAGGGGTGAACGCTCAGGGTGGGTGAGCCTCTGAGGCCCAGGTGTGAACACTCAGGGCGGGTGAGCCTCCGAGGCCCAGGTGTGAACACTCAGGGCAGGTGAGCCTCCAAGGCCCAGGCGTGAACACTCAGGGTGATGAGCCTCCAAGGCCCAGGGGTGAACGCTTAGGGCAGGTGAGTCTCCGAGGCCCAGGGGTGAACACTCAGGGCGGGTGAGCCTCCGAAGCCCAGGGGTGAACGTTCAGGGCAGGTGAGTCTCCGAGGCCCGGGGGTGAACGCTCAGGACAGGTGAGCCTCCAAGGCCCAGGGGTGAACGCTCAGGGTGGGTGAGCCTCTGAGGCCCAGGTGTGAACACTCAGGGCGGGTGAGCCTCCGAGGCCCAGGTGTGAACACTCAGGGCAGGTGAGCCTCCAAGGCCCAGGCGTGAACACTCAGGGTGATGAGCCTCCAAGGCCCAGGGGTGAACGCTTAGGGCAGGTGAGTCTCCGAGGCCCAGGGGTGAACGCTCAGGGCGGGTGAGCCTCCGAAGCCCAGGGGTGAACGCTCAGGACAGGTGAGTCTCCAAGGCCCACGGGTGAATGTGTCCAGGCCCGGCCTGGGTGGACACAGCCTCCTGGTGGCCGGGCTGGTCTCAGGTCTGCAGAAAGGGGGCCCAGAAGGCTTCTGTTGAATGCATGGCCCCAGGGCGGGGTGCTGGCAGCAGTCCAGCTGGCTTTGGAGGGGCTCCAGCACCCGGGAGGAGGTCCTCCCCATTCTTGGAGCCCCGAGTTACCTCTGTCCCCAGACAGCAGTGGCTGCCAGCATGTATGGGCAGGGAGTGCCCGTCCCAGGGAGACCCTCAGGGCCCTGTGTGGCCCCAGCCAGGCTGGAACTGGCTTCTGACCTGCCTCTGGGTGCTGACTGCCCCTGACTACCGTTGCCGCCCCACCTCCATCCCTCTGTGACTGCCTCTTGTTCAGCCCTTGGCAGCTGGAGGGGCAGATGCCTGAGGGCTCTTTAGGGACTCTGTGCGTGTGCTCCCCTGTAGCTGCCCTGTGGAGGGGACCCCTCACGGTGGGCTTCTAAGGGCCCATGGGGGCTTGGTGCAGGGGGTGGAGCAGTTCTTCCCCAGAGAGCTGGTCACGAGGAAGCCCTTTCCCTTCCTTAGCTGGTCCTGGTCCTGGTGTGGCCGTGGAGGCTGTGGGGGAGACAGCTCTGGGGAGGTGGAGGCAGGTTCTGGCCTGTGGTTCCTGGCTGCCTCTTGTCACATAGAAAAAAAACACATGGACTTTTCTCTGGCTGGTTTGATTTCTAGGTTAAAAAGTTAACTAGTGGGGCATTTTGCTCATGGCTGGACATCCTGTTGGGTCTAGAGGAGGTGGTGCGGGCTCATCTTGCCCCCGTGCCTGTTACTGGGTGCCGAGTGTCCACTCTCTTTCCTCCAGCATGGGGAGAACAGCTGGGCCAGGAGTTCAGGCTTGGTCGGGGGTAGAGTCTGGAGACGGGAGGGAGCCGTGATGGAGCATGGGGGGACAGACAGGGCTAGAGCTTGCCTGGGTTTGCCTGCTTTTTAAATTAAGCTTTATATTTGGGTAATCTTATATTCACATGCTGTTTAATAAATAATACAGGGAGATCCATGTACCCCGTACCCAGTTTTCACAGTGGTCACGTCTTACAGTTCTGTAGCACATCACAACCAGCATGGCGACAGTCAGGATCCAGAACATTCTATCCCCACAGGGATCCCTCATGCTGCTCTTTATAGCCAAGGCCCACCCTACTCCCAGCCTCACGTCCTCTTTAACCCCTGGCAGCCACTACCCTCTTCTCCGCTTGTATGAGTTTGTCATTTCAGGAGTGTTGTATAAACACGGCTATGCATTGTGTATCGTTTAGGGATTGGCTCTTTTCACTCAACACTGTTCTCTGAACATTCATCCATGTTGTTACTGTGGCTGTGGCTGATTCCTTCTTGCTGCTGAGTGCTGTTCCAGGGTGTAGGTACAGCACACTTTATTTATTCACCGTTGAAAGACTTGTTTCCAGTGTGAGGTATTACCAATAAAGCTGCTATGGACATTCTTTTATAGGTTTTTGTGTGAATATAGGTTTTCCTTTCCCTGGGACAGACGCCCAGAAGTGCAAGTGCTGGGTCACCAGGTAGTTGCTTGTTTCTTTCCAGGAAAGAAGCAGGGAAGCAGCCCACTTTCCATAGCAGTCGTACCGTTTTATATCACCACCAGCAGACTTTGAGAGATCCAGTCACAGCGTCTTTGGTATGCCGTGTTGCCACTAGTTTTTATTTTGGCCGTTGTGATAGGTGTAGTGATATTTCATTGTGGTTTTAATTTGCATTTCCCTGGGGCATAATATTGTTTTAATTTGCATTTCCCTGGTGGATAATGATGTTGAACATCTTTTTATGTCCTTATTTTCCATTTGCAAAATCTTCACATCTTCTGCCCATTTTCTCATTGGATTGTTCATTTTTATACTCTTGAGTTTTAAGCATGGTTTGTGTATTCCAGATATTAGTCCTTTGTTGGATATATACAGTTTGCAATTTTTTTTTCAACTCTGTAGCTGGTTGTTTCATCTACTTAATGTGGTCTTTTACAGAACAAGTGTTTTTTAACTCCCATGAGCTCTGATTTAACAGTTTTTCCTTTTATGGAAACTCTTTGCCTAGCCCTAAATTCAGAAGATTTTCCTCAAATTTCTTTTTTAAAGTTTCGTGTTTTTACATTTAAGTCTCTGACCAGCTTTAATTTTTGTATAAGATGTGAAGTTTAGGTTGAGGTCACTTTTTTTTTGGCCTGTGCGTATCCATTTATTCCAGCATCATTTGTTGAAAAGACTTAGCTCTCCCCATTGAATTACTTTTGCACCTTTGTCAAAAGTTGGGCATATTTATGTGAGTCTGTTTCTGGGTTTTTTATCCTGTTCCATTGAACTATGTGTTTACTCTTGTACCAATATCACACTGTCTTGGTTATGAAGCTTTACAGCAAGTTTTGAAAGTGGATAGACTTGATTCCTCCAACTTCTTTTTATTCAAAATTGTTTTGACTATTATAGTTTCTTTGCCTTTCCGTATACATTTTAGAGTAATCTTGTCTATATCTACAAAAATTCCTGCTCAGATTTTGTTAGGAATTGCAATTAAGCCAGTGTATCAATTTTGGGAGAATTGACGTGTTTACTGTGTTGTTTTCCAATCCATGAACATGGTATATCTTTCCATTTATTTAGATCTTTGATTTCTTTCAGCATTTTGTAGTTTTCAGCATATGAGTACTATACATGTTTTTAGTTTATGCTTTTTCTTAAGTAAATCAAACCATATTTTGAAATTTGTTATCTGCATTAGTCTGTTTGGGCTGCCATAGCAAAATATCACAAACTGGGTGACAAACAACAGAAATATATTCTCTCACAGTTCCGGAGGCTTGAAGTCTGAGATTAAGGTGTTGGCAGGTTGGTTTCTCCTGATGCCTCTCTTCTTGGCTTGCAGTTGGCATCTTCTCCCTTTGTCTTCATATGGTCTTTTTTTTCTGTGTATGGTCCTCCCTGGTATCTTTTTTTCGTTTGTTTTTTTTTTTTTTGAGATGGAGTTTCGCTCTTGTTGCCCAGGCTGGAGTGCAATGGCGCAATCTCAGCTCACCGCAACCTCCTCCTCCTGGGTTCAAGCAATTCTCCTGTCTCAGCCTCCCAAGTAGCTGGGATTACAGGCATGTGCCACCATGCCTGGCTAATTTCATGTTTTTAGTAGAGACGGGGTTTCTCCATGTTGGCCAGGCTAGTCTTGAACTCTGGACCTCAGGTGATCCACCCGCCTCAGCCTCCCAAAGTGCTGGGGTTACAGGCATGAGCCACCATGCCCGGCTAGTGTCTGTCTTCTTATAAGGACATCCAGTCAGGTTGGAGTAAGATGCCATCCTTGTGACCTCATTTAACCGTAATTACCTTTTGAAAGGCCCTGTCTTCAAATGCAGTGACATTGTGGGTTAGGGCTTCAACATATGAATTGGGTGATGGGTTCACAATTCATTCCATAACAGTGTATACATGTTCGTTGCTAGTGTATAGAAATGTAGTTGATATATTTGTGTGTTTATCTTGTATACTGCAATTTTGCTGAGATTACTTATTTGTTGTAGGAGGCTTTTCCATTTTTTGGCCTTTGTTTTTTAAATTCCTTGAGATTTTCTACGTAGATAATTATGTCATCTGCAAATATTTCTTCCTTTCTGATCTGTATATCTTTTATTTCTTTTTCTTGACTTAGTGCACTGGCTGGAACTTTATTAATTCCTTCTTTCTGCTTGCTTTAGATTTATTTTGCTCTTCTTTTTTCTAGGTTCTTGAGGTGAGATATTGATTTGAGACTTTTCCTCTTTTCTAATTTATGCATCTAATGCTATAAATTTCCCCACTCAGTACTGCTTTAGTTGCATCCCACAAATCTTAATAGGCTGTGTTTTCATTTTCATTCATTTCAGTGTGTTTTTTGATGCATCATTATTTCAAATTTTGTTGTTTAATTTCCAAGTGTTTTGAGATTTTCCTGTTATCTTTCTGTTATTAATTTCTTTTTTGATTCTGTTGTGATTGGAAAACACATTATTATTTCAGTCCTTATAAATTTGTTAAGATTTGTCTTATGACCCAGAATATTATCTGTTTTGATATACTGTGGACACTTTGAAAGAATGTATATTCTGCTTTTGGGTGGAGTGTTCTGTAAATGCTGATCAGATCCTGTTGGCTGATGGTATTGATTTCCTCTCAGTTCTTGTGGATTTTCTGTCTAGTTTTATTATTGAGAGGGGGTATTGAAGTCTCCTAAGTATAATTGTGGATCTGTTTCTCCTTTCAGTTCTGTTGTGTTTTTGCTTCACATATTGGCAGCTCTTTTGTTTGTTGCATACACGTTAGGGATTGAAATTTGTTTTGGTGGACTGACCCTCTTGTCAATTGTGTAATAGTGGGATTATATAATGTCCTTCTCTGTCTCTGCTGTCCCTGGTCTTTTTTTTTTTTTTTTTTTTTTTTGCTCAGAAGTTTATTTTACCTGATGTTAATATAGCCACCCCTGCTTTCCTTTGATTAATGTTCACATGATACATCTTTTTCCATCGTTTTACTTTCAACCTTCCTATCTTGGTATATTTGAAGTGAGTTTCTTGTAGACAGCACGTAGTTGAGTCATGTTTTTAAATCGACTTTGCTAATCTCTGTCTTACAGTTGGTGTATTTAGACCATTTATATTTAATGTGATAATTTGTATATTAGGGCCTAAGTCTGCCATTTCGTTTTTAATTTTTCATTTATTCTCTGTTTTTAGTTTCTGTTTACATTTTTTGCAGCTTCCAGTGGGTTACTTGTACATCCTTTAGAATTTTGTTTGGTTTATCTATTGTGTTTTTGAATGTACTTAGTATAGCTTTTTTGGTTGCTTTATGGATTACATTAATACATAAAGTTTGAGTGAAGTATAAAAACGTTGCCTTTATGTCACTGTCATCTCCCGCTTACAGTACAATTATCTTAAATATTTTCTCTACATACCTTTAGTGCTACATAAGAAAATATTGTAATTTTTGCATTAATCATCAAACATATTTTAGGAAACTAAAGAAGGAAAGTCTGTTTTATTTACCCATAATGTTGCCTACTGTGGTATTTCCTCTTTCCTGTTATTTCAAGATTCCTTCTTTAGTAATTTCCTTTCTGTTTAGAGAACTTGTTTTTTGTTTGTTTTTTGCCATTATTTTAGACAGATCTGCTGGTTACAAATTTCTTCTCTTAGTTTTTCTTCATCTGTGAGTGTCTTGATTGCTCTTTTATTCTCAAAGGATGTTTTCACTGGATATAGGATGCTGGGTAGACAGTGTTCTTTTTTTTTAGCCTGTGAGAAATGTGGTGCCCCTTCCTCATAGCTTTCAGGATTTTTGATGAGCAATTACTGTTATTCAAATTGCTTGCCCGTAAAGTGTCATTTTTCTCTGGCCACTTCCAAGATTTTTTCTTTATTTTTATCGTTAGCTTATAGAAGTTTGAATATGGTATGTGTTGGTGTGATTTTGTTTGGGTTTTCTATTTGGGGTTTGCTCAGCTTCATGAATCTGCAGTGTACATCTCACCAAATTTAGGAAGTTTTCAACCATTATTTCCTGAAATGCTTTTTGAACCCCACTCCTTTTCTCCTCTTTTTCTAGATCCCCCATGTCACAAATGTTAGATCATGTTGTATAGTCCCACAAGGAATGAGGCTTTGTTCATTTTTTTTCAGTCCATTTTTTCTTTTGTTCAGGTTGGATAATTTCTATTGTTCTACCTCCAGTTCATTGATCATTTCTCTGCCTCTTCTATTTTGTTGTTGAGATGATTCATTAAGTTTTTAAATTCTGATTATTGTACATTTCAGTTCTAAATTTTTTTTATTTCTCCTATTTCTTTGCTGAGACTGTGTTTTTTCATTTGTTTCCAGCATGTTTGTTATTGTTCACTGAAGCATTTTTATGGTGGCTGCTTTAAGATCTTTCTTGGCGAATTCTACTGTCTGTGTTGTCTTAGTGTTGGTGTCTATTAATTGTTTTTCAGTTTGAGATCTTTGTGGTTTAGTGTGCCAAGGGATTTTTTAGTGAGATGCAAGCATTTTGGGTATGATGTAATTTCAGCATCCTGTTGTGGCTGACGCAACTCCTGCAGGTCAAGCGGGGTGTGCACCTCGCTACAGGCAGGTGGGGTGGAAGTCCAGGCTCTCACTCAGCCTTTGTGACACCTGAGGGAGGGTGGGTGGCTGGGTGGGGGCTCCTTCTTGTTGCCAGGCAAGGATGGGAGTCCAGCTCCCCTCGTGGCCCCCTTGATGCCCCTGGGGTTGGGACATTCTCATTATTGCTGGGTAGGTGAAAGTCTGGACTCCCGCTTGACCTCCTCTGACACCCCCCAGCATGGAGGGGGACAGGACAGGCACGCTCTTACTACTGGGTGAGGATAAGAGGCCAGGCTCCCCATATGGTCTCTGCTGACTCCGTGAGGCTTCGGGGGTGACTAGGCTCCCCACATGGTCTCCACTGACTCCATGAGGCTTTGGGGGTGACATCTTGGGCTTCCCTGTGGTCTCTGCTGACTCCTTGGGGGTGAGGGTGGGTGTCTTTACCAACCAGTGGGAGTGAAAGCTCTAGTGCCCACTGGTGTTGTCTGACACCACCCCGCAGGGGACTCGGGGGTCCTTGTTACAGGCTGGCGAGGGTGGGGGGTCCTTGCTGACATGGTGGGTGGAGCCGAGGTCTGGTGTTTGCGGGGAGCAGGGCGATTCCTGTCGAAAGGTCTTTCCTCATGTTGGGCTGACCCTTCCCTGGGTCTTAGGCCAGAGAGAGCTGCTTCCATGGGCTCTTTTTTCTGCATCTGTTGTCTTTTCCAGCCTGCTGCCTTCTTCAGTTTCAAAATATCTGAGGTGAAAAGAAAAGCCCCCAGGGAGCTCTGCGTGGCACAGTCTGTCCTTGCGTGGCACAGCTCCCCAGACCCCGAGGGCCCGGCCAGTCTGCCCTTGTGTGGCACAGCTCCCCAGACCCCGAGGGCCTGGTCAGTCTGTCCTCCTCGCTCCTGCTTTCAGAGTCTTCCCAGGTGTTTATCTCAGTGTCTTGGGTAGGAGAAGAGCAGGGAGAAGCGTGTCAGCCCCATCTTCCTCAGTTTGCTTTAAAAACAGCTGTCCTGGAAGGGTGCCGGTGCCGATGGGCTGCAGGGATTCTGGCCTGCGGATGTGGAGCTGGGGCCTCAGGGGTCTTGGGCGGGACTCACTGGGCTCTGCCCACGGATGTCCTGAGGGCACTGCAGCCTCCTGAACCCTCTGCACCTCCGGGAATGATCAGGTCCCTCCCTGGTGTCCCAGGGACATCTCCAGTCCCTCCTGCCCCTGGCAGCTGCGAGAATCAGGAGAGATGTGGCCAACGCTGGTGCTGCTCCTTCTGGTCATCGTAGCACAGCTTCCGCTGCCGAGATGGAGACGGGCTCCATGTGCAGGCTGCTGGGGGTTGCTCTGGGCGCGAAGCCCTGGGGATCAGCTCCTGGTCACCTGCTGTGGCTCTCCTCACCCTGCTCTGCCAGGCGGGACGTTCTGGCCCTCATGGGCACCCTTCCGCTGTCTCAGCACCATGGGGGGGCAGCAAGCACCACCAAGCAGGGGACTCGGGAGCAGACACCGCAGGCCACGCAGAAGCAGGCCACCTGCCAGGTTCCGAGGGGTTCTTGGGAAATGGTGGGAACCCCCCTTCAGGCCTGTGCCAGGTGGTGGAGGTCGGGGGGGCTGTGGTGAGCACTGTGGCACCTGCTCCTGGGGCTGGCCTCTGACCGCTGTGCAGTGTTCAGGGTCAGCCTCTGAGCTGGAGGAGGGTGAGCCTGGGAGCAGGCGTCGGGGTGTAGGGTGCCAGTGTCCCAGCCAGGCCCTCCCCACCCGCCTCACCCGGCCTCTCTTTCCAGTTCCAGTTATACTCCGTGTACTTCCTGATCCTGTCCATCATCTACTTCTTGGGGGCCATGCTGGATGGCCTGCGGCACTGCCAGCGGGGCCACCACCCGCGGCAGCCCCCGGCCCAGGGCCTGAGGAGTGCCGCGGAGGAGAAGGCAGCACAGGCACTGAGCGTGCAGGACAAGGGCCTCGGAGGCCTGCAGCCAGCCCAGAGCCCGCCGCTTTCCCCAGAAGACAGCCTGGGGGCTGTGGGGCCAGCCTCCCTGGAGCAGAGACAGAGCGACCCATACCTGGCCCAGGCCCCGGCCCCGCAGGCAGCTGAATTCCTGAGCCCAGTGACAACCCCTTCCCCCTGCACTCTGTGCTCCGCCCAAGCCTCAGGCCCTGAGGCTGCAGATGAGACTTGTCCCCAGCTGGCTGTCCATCCTCCTGGTGTCAGCAAGCTGGGTTTGCAGTGTCTTCCAAGCGACGGTGTTCAGAATGTGAACCAGTGACTCTCGGGCGCCCCTGTGGTAACTTTGCAGGCGGCCCTCAGTGCATCCCCACGACCCCTGCCTCGAGGGCCGCCTGCCTTAGCAATGGGGGCCTCCGCTTATCCTGCTAGCAGGCCCCCTAGGATTCCCCCTGCCCTGTGCCGCACTCTGGCGGTGGCCACAGCGTGCTGGCGACACTCAGGGCAGCTGCCTGGCCATGCTGTCCCTGCACTGTGCCCCGCGGGCTTTGTTGCTGGAAGAGGTGGGTGGTGGGCTTCTGCGTCCACCAGGCCTCACTGGCTCATGCCCCTTGGGGGGCTTGAGACAAATCCTTTCTGCCCCCCAGGGCTAGTGAAGTGGCCTCTTGGATACCAGCTCAGGGGACACTGGCCCCACAGGAGTTGTGAGCCCTCTAGGGCAGGGTGGGAGCCGGGACCCTCAGGTGTAGCTGAGCTGTGACATTGCTGGTCATCCTTGGTGCTCTTGCTTTTTTGAAAGATGCTTTTTTTTTTTTTAACTGACGTAGAATGAAGAACTGCATGTGGCTTCTCTGTCTCTGTGGAAAAGCCATCTCAGGTTGGCGGCAGACACATTGTCATCAGAGGGGAGCAGCGGCTCTGGTCCTCGGAGCTGGTTCCTCTCTCCCACCCTAAGGGCAGCCCTCCATGGTCCTGTCTGTCCTTCTGAAGTGTGTCCATCCTGACCTGCGGGTCCTCAGCTGCTCCCACACTTGTGCCAGCCCGGAGGGGACTGGTCCCGGTCACCGCGGACGTGCTGGCCTTGGTATGTGCCAGGCTTGCCTGGGCTGGGCAGCCTTGGGGGGGCTGCCTTTGTGGTGGGCGCTGGGGAAGTACGTCCCAGCGGCCTCAGGGTCTAAGGAGCGCTAGTGCCTTGCCCACAGGTGCGGGACCATCTGATGTGATGTGAATACTCTTCCCACATACATTAAACACACTTAAGTGAGTGTGCGCAGGGCTTCTGATTCAGGGCCGGCCTGGCCTGGGGGTTGAGGGTCAGCAGTCAGTGAGGAGGCCAGGAGAGGCGTCCCAGCCTTCTCCCGCCTCCAGCCCACGCAGGGCCTTGGTGCCCATGAGCTGAGCACCCCCACAACCCTAGTCAACGGCCCTATCCTGTGGGGCCTCTGCCACATCTCAGCGGCCCCAGGTGAATGGCTGGCTGCTCAGCACGGAGAGCTGGGGAGAGAATCTCTGGCTGGGGAGGGGCTGCTGGAGCTGCTGGACCCAGGGGTCTCCCGAGGTGGCTCAGGGGAGCAGGCATCTTGGGGTACCCTGGGTTGAGGCAGAGGCTGCACGTGGAAGATGGCCCGAGTCAGTGGATGGTGCCAGTCAGACAGGGCCATGGTCCCAGGTGCATCCAGGGGCTCTGTCATGGCCACCCTGGGGACCCTGCTTGGGGGGGGGTCTGCACCAGCCATTTCCTGGGCTCGTAGATCTAGCAGGATGTGATGGGTGGAGGTGGGCTGGGCCTGTGCCATGGGCTAGAGCGTCACTGGGGAGGCCCACACCGCCATCAGAATCCTCCTCCCAGCGCCTCCCCAACCTGAGGGCCTGCTCCCTCCGCAGCCTGCTCACTGCACCCACTGCCTGCCTGCCTCTGAGTCCTGCACTCACCCGTCCACCAGGACAGGGATGGCTGTCAGGATGTAGTGTTGCTGGGAGCAAGTCAGGTCCTGCTGTGAGGAGAGACCTAAGAGTGTTGGTGTGTGTCCACACACCCGTGCATGCCTGTGTACCTGTGCACACTATGGATGCTCCTGCACACCTGTGTACAACTGCACGCCTGTGTATGGCCATGCATGCATACCCCATGTAACCGTGCGTGCCTGTGCACACTCGGGATCTGCCAGTGGGGCAGTCCAGGGATAAAAGACTCCTGAGAACTCCTTTTGGAGAATTGTGTCCTTCCTGTGACAGTGAAGGCTGCTTGCAAACCAAGAGTCAGTGTAAAAGGTCACTTTTATTTGCCTGTCTGAATTGGCTTCACATCACACACAATTACAGAACCAGCCCCACCGGTTTCGTCGCAGTCCTGAGGCAGGTGCGTGTTGGCTGTGCTGTGGTCAGCCTGGCGCTGCCCTGAGTCCACTTGTCCCTCCACAGAACGAATGACTCGGGTTGATGTTGCCGGATCTCAGGGGTGGCTGTGACTGACAGAGGACCTTGTTGCACCTCGTGGCTGCTTTGTTCACCCGCAGGGCGGCCTGTGGGCACCCCGGGGTTCCCCTTCAGTCCCAAGGAGGGTAAGGATATGGGTTTCCTAGGAGACAGCCAATGACTGCCCTGCATCTGGAGCCAGCCTGTCCATGGGCAGTGCACAGATGACAGCCCTCCCTCACTGCCCTGTGTGCTGGCTACCGCATGTCCTGTGCCAGCCTCAGCCTCTTTGATGTGGCCGTGTTCCATCCTGGCGCTCAGCTGGACAAGTGCTGGCTGAGCCACGTCCCAGCCAGGGGCATGAGATGGGGGCCCTGGATGGGAGGCTGCCAGACCCCAACTCATGGGTCCCTTGAATCTCCCAGCTTGGACTCGGCCAGGGTGGAGCTGTCTGCTTTGGATGTATCATCTCATGGCTCATTTGGGAGGCCAGCCCCAGGCTGCTGTGCTTGGTGTTGGAGGACAGGCCGGAGCTGGGGGTCACAGTGCGCCTCTGAGCTTGGGAACCTGCTTCAGCCTGGGGTTGCTGTGGAGAATGGCCCAGAGCTGAGCAGAAGGGGCTCCCCCTAGCCCCAGGGACCTGAGCCTCCCTCCCATCTACCGCAGGGCGAGCACACACCCTGGAGGAGCCCAGATGGCCTTGTGCTGAGTGTGGCCTCAGCTCCCATTGCCTCACGGGGCCTGTCTGCTAACAGGTCTGGGTTTTGTGCACAGAACGGTGCTGCTAGGTGGGAGATGAAGTCAGCACCTGCTGGGGCGAGCACGGCTTCCCAAAGCAGGAAATCCTGGAGAAATCGAGCCGTGGTCTGATCAGGCCAAGAGGTTGCACAGGGCATGATACTGCACCCTGCCTGACCCAGCTGGGCTCACAGGTCAGGGGAGAGTTGGGGCAGGTGAATGTCAGCATCAGGCTTCTGTTTTAAACTTTTAAAAAAATACACTCTTTGGCTTCCTTTTATTTCTTGAGGATTACATGAAACGTGAACTATACAGGAAAGTATGGCAGCCAGGTCCTGGGGCCAGGGGCTGGCCGGCCGCTCCCTGCCCACGGTGGGGGCTTCCTCCGAGCCGCCGGTCCTCTCCGGCCATCCGCATCCAGGCGGTGGCTACTTGGAGGCAGTCATGAAGCTGTTCTCAATGCAGAGCACGATGTAGGCGTGATGGCAGCTCGCGGCACTCTGCCCCAGGAGCCTGCCCCCCAGCAGCGAGGAGGCCTGGCCCGTGGCCGAGGGAGCCTCCGTCCGCCACGTCTCACAGTAGCTCTCGGTCAGCCTGCGCCCGTTGGGGTCCGAGCCATGCCACACGCTCTTCTGGGGCCTGTAAGACGCGCCGGGCCGTCAGTCAAACCCAGACCTGCTCTGCTTAGGGCAGAGGCCGCTCCCCGGGCAGGAAAGGTGGAGGCAGGAGGCCAGCCCTGGGGTTACCAGGGGGCTGCAGAGGCTCCCACAACCTGGAGGGCCACATGGCCTCCCTGCTGGCTGCCTGTGGAGGGGGCTGCATCTCCCAGACTGCCCCCCATGCTGCTTCTGCCAGACACACCCACGGCAGAGGGGAGAGGGGCCAGGGCTTGGCCTGGCTGGGTGAACCTGGCCCTCATGCCTGCTGAGCAGAGGCTTCCTGTGGCTGCCTCGCTAGGAACCAGCTCCGCCTCCCGGGCTCCTGGCTTTCAGGCCTTCCCTGGGGCCCAGCCCTGCCCACAGCACTCCTGTCAGAGACCCTTGGCAGGTGCATCTCCGTTACAGCAGATGGCCAGGCACTGCTGGGGACACGCTGTGTGGCACCCCGAGACACCCCTAAATGCATGAGTGTTGGAAGAATCGCGGCGCTCACGTGGGGAGGGCACAGCGACATTTGGGACGAAGCGTTCTTCTAGATACCCTGGAAATTTCTGTCAACATTTTAAGGGCACACATGCTCGGACTCCGTGTTGCCCTTTGAGGAGTTTATTCTCGGTGAATAAACTCGCTGCGCTGCTTACATGGCTGACCACAGGCTTGGTGACATCCGGGAGACATGGAGTCTATCCGCCATGAGCAGAGGGCCGGGGGCACCTTCGGGGCCTTCTTACAACTACCTGGCTCTCAAACGCATTGCTAATGATGACTTCTCAGAGCAGTTCTCATTTTTCTCAATGCTCTTTTGGATTTTGTAATTTTAAAGTAATGAGCATGTATAAGATTTGTCCAAAAACTCGGGGGGAAACTGCAGATAGGAGCCCGCCCGCCCGCCTTCCCTGGCTGGGGCTCTCAGAGCTGCTCACACGGCACTGGGAACCTACCAGGTGGGGTGCCTCAGGACGTCCTTGCCGTCAAAGGAGAAGATGCGTGCCCCGGGCTTCAGCGGACCCTCAGAGCCTGAGAACAGAGCCTCCCAGCTGGGAAACAGCAGCTCGTCCTGGAAGAGAAACCGTGTGTATGTGTGTGTGGTGTGTGGGGGTGTGGATGGGTGTGGGTGTTTGTGGGGGGGTGTGTGGATGTGGGGTGTGGATGTGTGGGGGGGGGGTGTGTTGTGTGTGTGGGGTGTGGGGGGTGTTTGGGGGTGTATGTGGGGTGTTGTGGGTGTGTGTTTTTTTGGGGGGTGGGGTTCTGCAGCCCCTGGGCATGTCCTGCCAGGGAACAAGCGTGGGGGAGCCAGGCCTGGCCAGGCAGCCTCTGCAGACCCCAAGAGGCCTTGGCTAAGGCAGGGGACCCTGTCCCCTAACGCCAGGCCACAGCCGCCTGCTCCCAGCCCTGGGTCTCTGACCCCTCTGCTGTTGGTTCTGGGGAATGTGGGTGCTCCCCGGGGCACCCAGAAGCCACAGCCCAGTGCACGAAAAGGGGCCACAGAATAAAGCCACATGGGTGCTGTGGCAGAGGGGCCACCAGCCCGCATGGCACTAGAGGCCCAAAGGACGGTTCCTGATTCCAGGCTTGTATGTGAGCCCTATCACCTGTGTGGACACTTGGTCCAGCAGCATGGGACCCTCTGAGGGGCACTGCCGGGGGAGCGGGGGGTCAGGGGGCCACGGGGGGGCCTCATGGGATGCCCTGGGGGACGTGGCAGTGCCCAGGGATGCAGAGGCCTGGCCTGAGCCTGGAGGGGTGTGACCCACCCGGAGCCTGCCCTGAAGTCGCCAGCCTAGGCGCCAGTGTCTGTAACATGGTGGCCTCCAGAGGCCCTAGAGGGGAGCTCCCCGCTGGGAGTTCACCCCAGAGGTCAAGTGGGGGCCGAGGAGCCCGCGCCCTCAGGACTGGACTGACCCACCTTGAGGTTGACGATGGGCACGGCTGCGCGGTCGGCACGGCGCACGATGCTGTACAGGTCCTGCAGGCGCGAGGACAGGAAGGCGCGGAAGGTGCCCGCCAGCCCCACGGCCCGCGCCTGCTGGAAGCACTGGAAGTCGGCCCCGCGGATGCCCCGCATGCCGCCTGACAGGGGGCTGTTGAGCGCAACCAGGTGGAGCTGCGGGGAGAGGGGCGCGTCACGGGCTGTGTCCCACGCTGCCCCCTGCACCCAGGCCCCGGGCGCACCACCCCGGCCCCGCACCTGTGTGGACAGGCACGGCCGAGGGGCGCTGAGCGGGAGGCGCGCAAGTGACACACTGAGGGGCCCAGGCAGCAGCCCCCATACGCTGCCAGGTCAGAGCAGCCCCGGGCCACGTGGGTGCCCCCAGCTGCCGCTGTAGGCGGAGGTACGCCGGTTCCTCAAGGATGTGACAGCGGCTGGACTTTCATGACCACTGCTTGGCCACCAGAGGGCAAGTCCCAGGGCCAGCCAAGCCGCCCTGAGTGGCCCTGAGCCGCCAGACCCCCACCCATGGCCGAAGCCTGGGACCCCCAGCAGCTCTGCAGGGGCTGGGCCCTCTTCTGCTGCCGAGAGCCGAGGGGCTAGATGGAGCCAAGCCCACTTTGGGGGGGCACTCACCACCGGCTGGAAGTCGCGGTGGCTGTGGGCGGGTGGGCTTGTGGGTCGCGCCGGCCGCAGGTGCACGTAGGAGCTGTGGTGCGGGGCTCCGGGGTAGGGCTGGGGCTCGGGCAGGCGAGGGGGGCTGGCCAGGATGTCATCTGCCCGCCAGGGCCGCGCGGTGGGGTGGGGGTGCTCCCGCCGCGGGTAGGGGTTGCTGTCGTGCAGCTGCACCACGGGGGGCTGCAAGGCGGCCACTTCATTGTCCTGCAGGTGGGAGACGTGGGGCCTGTCGGCGGGGGGACCCTCCGGGTGCCCCTCCTCCATCTGTGTCCTCCTCTGGGCTGGGTGAGAGGGGCTGGGCTCTGAACTGGCAAGCAGGGAGCTGCGCCCCCGACTCTGGGGCTGCCCTGGGGGTGTAGGCAGCAGCAAGGGTGGGGAGTCCTGCCTGCCGTGGCGCCGGATCGCGGGTCACCTCTGCTCAGGCCCCACAGACCCAGCCGTGCTCAGAAGCCGCAGCAATCACTCACCACGTGCCCTGACCTGCCCTCTCCTTTGCCGCGGCTCCAATTCAGGGCCCCTGACCTCAACACGGCGACCTTCGACCTTCTAATCTCCCAGGGCCTTGCTCTGTCTCCCTCAGAGGTGACCTCCACCCTAGAAATCCCAGCCCCCAGGCCTGCACCCCAGTCCGGATGCCCCTATTGATTCTGCACCTTTCCCCACGGCCCTCAGCCCCTCCTGACCCAGCTGCCATTGCCATCCACCTGCACCCTGTCCACATGGCTGTCCCCACTGTCTGCTCCACAGGGCCAGGCTGTGTGTTACCCAGGGCAATATCCATGGCCACCCGGCACACAGGAGGGGCCATGACTATTGACTGGCTGAATGAAAGAATGAATCAGCAAATGAGTGAGAGCAGACTGGGCTGAACCCTGTGAGGAGACAGGCCGCTGTGGAGCCCCTGACACTGCTCCACATCAGGCCTCACTCCTGAGCCAATTAAGGAATCATGACCTCTACTCAAGGAGGGGCCGACAGCAGCTGGACGCAACACTTAGGAAAACGAAAATATTTCTACCCATCCATCCACCCACCCATCCACTAACCCACTTACCCACCATCCATCCACCCACCCATCCACTCACCCACCTGTCCATCCACCCATCCACTCACCCACTTACCCACCATCCATCCACCCATTCATCCACTCATCTACCTATCCACCATCCATCTGCCCACCATCCATCCACCCATCCACTCACCCACTTGTCCACCATCCATCTGCCCATCTATCCACTCACCCACCTGTCCAGCAACCACCCATCCACCTCCCCATCTACCTACCCATCCACTCACCCACCTGTCCACCATCCACTCACCCACTTACCCACTATCCACCCACCCATTCATACACTCACCCACCTGTCCACCATCCATCCATCTCCCCAGCTACCTACCTATCCACTCACCCACCTTTCCATCCACCCACCCACCCGTCCACTCACCCGCCTGACCACCATCCATCCACTCACCCACCTGTCCACCATCTACTCATCCATCCACCTCCCCATCTACCTACGTATCCACTCACCCACCTCTCCATCCACCCATCCATCCATCCACCTCCCCATTGATTCACCCACCCAGTCACCCACCACTCTTAGAGATATCCATTCTTGTGTCTGGCACTTTGGGTGAGGGAAGGCAAAGACACAAGATGTGGATTTTGGCCCCAAGGATTTTGACCTTGAGGAGGGCAATGAGCGGCAGACACAACTGGGAAAGTTGAGGGATGAGAGGGGCTCCCTCGTGAGGCCAGCAGCTGAGACGGAGGTACTGGGGGGCCAGCGCTGAGACAGAGGTAGTGGGGTGTCCTGCACCAGTTTCTGCAGCAGGGGCTGATGGTGAGCCACATGTTCAGCTCCAGGACTCCAAAGGACCACGTGTTGTTCCTCAAACAGGGGACAGCACATACCCCCTCATGTCCTGACCACCCACCAGTCTCAACAGAAAAAAGGCTCCTTACCGTCCCTCGTGGGAGTGGTGTCCGGGCCTCCAGCTGGAAGAAAGCAGCAGGGTCACCCAGGACCTGCGGCTGGGCCTGAGCCAGGGTGCCCTCCCTGCCCAGCACCCGACTCTCCCGCCCCAGCACCTGGCCCTCCCAGCCCACAGGAGGGTGCCCTCCCTGCCCAGCACCTGCCCCTCCAAGCCTGTGCCAGGGTACGCTCCCTGCCCAGCACCCGGCCCTCCCAGTCCACAGCAGGGTGCCCTCCCTGCCCAGCACCCGGCCCTGCCAGCCCACAGGAGGGTGCCCTCCCTGCCCAGCACCCGGCCCTCCCAGTCCACAGCAGGTTGCCCTCCCTGCCCAGCACCCACCTCTCCCTCCCCAACACCCGGCCCTCCCAGCCCACAGGAGGGTGCCCTCCCTGCCCAGCACCCGCCTCTCCCTCCCCAACACCCGGCCCTCCCAGCCCACAGGAGGGTGCCCTCCCTGCCCAGCACCCAGCCCTCCCAGTCCACGGCAGGTTGCCCTCCCTGCCCAGCACCCAGCCCTCCCAGCACGCGTTTGCTAGGATGCCATCCCCTGCCTCCTCCTGTCAGGACCAAAGCCCCTGAAAGTTAGGATGGGGCTGCATCCGGGTGCCTACAAGCACACCTGGCACACAGTGGGCACCAGCTCAGCATCTGCTATGAGACTGGCAGCCTCTCCCTGGCCAGATGAAGGGACTGGAGTGGGATTCACTGTCTGGGGTGCTGCAGGGGCTGGCCAGGCCTAGGAGGGGGCCGGTGGCGAGAGGGAGGGAGTGCTAGAGGGAAGGTGGGAGGGCTCCAGAGGGAAGGTGGGAGGGTTCCAGAGGGAAGGTGGGAGGGCTCTAGAAGGAAGGTGGGTGTGTTGGAAGGTGGGAGGGCTCCAGGAGTCAGGGCTGTGTCAGTGTGCAGTGTTCTGCCATGGAGGCTCCCACGGATGTCACAGGCCGTTTCGGCGGCATGGGGCTTCTACCCGTCCTCACCTTTGCCACACGAAGGTAAACCTTCCCGGGGCCCTGCAAGCATGGCCGCACCCACCTGGATCAGAGCGGCCACTCCTGCCACCCAGACCATTTTGGGAAAGCAGGAAAGGGGCTGGCCTGTCCTGGAAGGGGCAATCCCAGGTGTGTCTGAGGAGCCAGGCTGGTGAGCAAGGCCCGTGCTAAGCAGAGAGGATGCATTTCATCCCACCTTGGTGTTTATAACGCGGGGTGCAGAGCCACGGGACAGCCTGCCCCCCAGCCGGGGCCGTGCTGTGGACGTCACGTGGCCCTGGAGGGCCTGAGCCCCCCTGCCGCCTCGTCCCGTCAGGCGCCTTGTCTTATTATCGGGTGTGTGAGGTGACATTTATCTTTGTAAACGTTCACTGTGACATGACCCACCAGGAGCCCCTCACACGCCATGTGTTCATCCACTTTCAGAAGCTTGAGCTCACTTTTCTTTAAACCCAAAACTGCTCACAAAAGTATTTTACTAAACTTTACCAAAAGTTTGAAAGTTTAAGAAGCGCTGGCTGCCACCTGCTCCCATCCCTGTCCGGGGCCTGAGCCTCTCGCCTTCCTTAAGCCCCAGGAGGCGGCTTCGGCCCTTCCACGGGTCCAGAACCCGTCACACAGAGCGCTCACCTGGACCTTCCGGAACCCGTTCTGCACGCGGACGTAGAGCTCCTCCTGCTCGGCCACGAAGATGAGCCAGCCCTCGGGAACCTCGTGCACCTGGCCCAGCATGGCCTGGCGTGTAGCCCAGAGCCTCACCTGCTGGGACCAAATGCAGAGGTGTGGGGCTTGGCGGGGAGGGCGGGGGGCAGGGGCGGAAGGAAGGAATGCCCGTTTCAGGGTGCTGGGCAGGGGCCGCAGGGCTTTGGACAGGTGTGGACTGAGGCGGCTGCCCCCATGAGCACCATGGGGACCCCTGCCTGCCGCCAGCTCCTGCGCCTCCGTGGACAATGTACAGGCCCTGGGCACTTCCCGGCTGGTGGTCGTCCTCCTGGGTCCACCTGATTCCCCCATGGCCTGGCCCCGCTTCCACCCTGGAAACCGCATCTTGGCCTCCTGTATATCTCCCTGTGGGGTCCGTGGGAGAGTGTCTCTGAGGGGCAGGGGCTGCAGAACCAGCCAGGGCACGGGACGCAGGTGCCCAGCCGGCTGCCCAGACACTTACCCCTGAGGAGGCGCCCATGGTTCCAGGGGGCCCAGGGGGCCCAGGGGGGCCCGGAGGGCCGGGAACGCTGATAGCTGCAGGAGAGAAACCAAGGTGGGAACACGAAGCCACACGAGGCGGCCTCTGCCCGGGGCCCACTCCCCACTGACTTACTCTGCCTGTGAGGGCCAGGAAATGAAGGGGGCCCTGGGGGGCCTGGGGGGCCGGGAGGGCCCTGGCGCCCCTCGTAGCCGATGCCGGGGGGTCCCTGAGGTCCAGGTGGGCCGGGCTGGCCCCGGATGCTCTCTCCCTTGGGACCCTACGGACGGCGACAAGAGACGCTTCCTGGTTACCTCGTGCCCTGGACTGGGGGCGGGCAAGCTTGTGGGGCTGCAGCTGCCAAGACCCCCTTGGCGAGCGCAGCCTCTGAGTCACCGGTCCCCTCCCTGCCCACGCCATAGCCTGAGAAACCCCCACACCATCACCCCTTCTTCCCTGGGGGTGCGATCCCGGGGGAGAGACCAGCAGAGACCTGACAACAGTGTGGGCCCCCAGGCAGTAGCTGGGGCCCATGGCTCTCTGGAGTCTTTCAGGACTGATGGGCCTAAACCCTGATCTGACCTGACCCGGCCCAGGAGCAGAGGTGGATGCACGTGGCCCCAGCAGGAGGGCAGGCCATGGAACGCTGCAGGGGGACGGGGGGTGTCCGGGGTCAGTGCACCCACACCCATGTGGCCTGCTGCGTCCCCACACGGGGACAGGGACATGTCGGGGCTGCTGAGCTTGCAGGGGCAGCTCCGGCCTTCGCGGGTGTCGAAGGCCGGGCTGGACCTGCCCTCGGCTCCTGCACCCAGACCCCTGGGACATGGGCTCTGCCTGCACAGGCTGGGACTTACTGGAATCCCAGGGTAGCCACGTGGGCCTGGGGGGCCTGGGGGGCCGGGGGGGCCGGGCAGGCTGGAGCCGAAGAAACCGCCGCCCCCGGGCTCCCCCCTTTCGCCTTTCTGTCCTGCATCACCTCGGTCTCCCTTCTCCCCCTGTGGACGGAAACACTTGTTACACGGGAGCCCTGAACCCCTACAAGCCACAGGTGGCCTCCCATCCCCCCGAGCCAGGGCTGGGCAGTCAGAAGCTTCCGGAGCCCAGGCCTGGGAGCTGCTGGCTGCATAGAATAGGGCTCGACTCCCCACCTCCCACTGCATCAGCCGAGTCCCCCAAAAACTGAGCCGGGGACAGGAACATCCTGAGGGACGCCCTCGACACCCTCTGGAGCCAGCGCCCCTCGCAGGGCTGAACAGGAAGGGGGCTTGGGCCGGATGGGGCGAGAAATTGGGAGCAGCCACCCAGCGGGATGTACAGGACCTTGGGGGCCCCCAACCCCACAGGGAGGTCACCCACCTTCATTTCAGCCTCCAACTGAAGAAAGTCAAACGGAAACTGCCCTGCAAGAGAGAGACAGGCGGGGTCTCGCTGAGGTGGTGTCTGACAGCGCCGGGTTCCCTCTGCAGCCCCCAGCACTGGTGGGTTTGCCTGAGGCCCTTCTAGCCATTTCGCGGTAGAGATCGCGTATTTAATTAGGTTCTTCCTAGTTAACCGATACTTTCTGATGTTTTTGTTAATGGTGCCTTTTTATTTTTATTTTATTTTTAAATTTTTTAAATTTATTATTATACTTTAAGTTTTAGGGTACATGTGCATGATGTGCAGGTTAGTTACATATGTATACATGTGCCATGCTGGTGTGCTGCACCCACTAACTCGTCATCTAGCATTAGGTATATCTCCCAATGCTATCCCTCCCCCCTCCCCCCACCCCACAACAGTCCCCAGAGTGTGATGTTCCCCTTCCTGTGTCCATGTGATCTCATTGTTCAGTTCCCACCTATGAGTGAGAATATGCGGTGTTTGGTTTTTTGTTCTTGCAATAGTTTACTGAGAATGATGATTTCCAATTTCATCCATGTCCCTACAAAGGACATGAACTCATCATTTTTTATGGCTGCGTAGTATTCCATGGTGTATATGTGCCACAAACAACCCCATCAAAAAGTGGGCAAAGGACATGAACAGACACTTCTCAAAAGAAGACATTTATGCAGCCAAAAAACACATGAAAAAATGCTCATCATCACTGGCCATCAGAGAAATGCAAATCAAAACCACAATGAGATACCATCTCACACCAGTTAGAATGGCGATCGTTAAAAAGTAAGGAAACAACAGGTGCCGGAGAGGATGTAGAGAAATAGGAACACTTTTACACTGTTGGTGGGACTGTAAACTAGTTCAACCATTGTGGAAGTCAGTGTGGCGATTCCTCAGGGATCTAGAACTAGAAATACCATTTGACCCAGCCATCCCATTACTGGGTATATACACAAAGGACTATAAATCATGCTGCTATAAAGACACATGCACACGTATGTTTATTGCGACATTATTCACAATGGTGCCTTTTTAAAACTTCATTTTTAATTGCTTAGGACTCGGTGGTGGTTTTTCTAGACTGCCCTTCCATCTGGTGACTTCGGTACATTGACTTACTCATCCTGAGAGTTCACCTGCAGATCCACTTGTGGGGCTTACGTGGGAGACGTGCTGAGAAAAGAGCAACGCGCTTCTTTCCTCCCAGCGTCCTGCCCTTCCCATCTCTCCTCTGCCTCCTCCCAGGGTGGGCAGGCAGCTGTGTCTTGGCCCTGACTTGAGGGTCCCTCCACCCTCTCCAAGGGTGAAGCTGTGGCAGTTCCAGGTGGCTCCTTCCAGACCACGGAGGAGCCCTTTGCTGAAATCCCTGCTTGTTGCTGCTTCTCTCCTTTTCCTCAGTCCCGGCAGAGGTGCAGGAATGTTGTTCGCCTTTGCAAAGAATTAACTTTGGATTTTTGGACTTTCTTGATCCTTGCTATTTTTATATATAAAACATACGCAATTTCTCTTCACTCATTTTTGATGTTTAATACTTCTTCCCATCTATTTTCATCAAATAACTGTTTGTTGTTCTTTAAATGCTGTTTGTTCTTTAACATCTTAGGCTGATGTGTAGAAACAGGTACTACTTAAAGCTGTAATTTTGTCAACGGAGATGACAAAACCCCTTCTCCTTCCAGGTGGGACCTTAGACGGCCCTGGGCAAACCTTCTCCTGTGACTGTTCCCCTGAAACCGTGACCGGGGTGGGGACCACCTCACCCCTGGAGGCATGCCCTGTAACCCAGAAGCTTTGGAGCACGTGGCTCCACACCCCCAGGGCCCCCCATCCCACAGGAGCCGTCCCTGGGGTTGGAGGTCACTGCTGCTGTCAGGACCCGTGCTCCCTCTCGGGCTGGGCCCTGCTCCGGGTCCTTCTGCAGAGGGAGGTGACCGGCTGTGGAGCCCCTGGGGGTCCTTCGGCAGAGGGAGGTGACCGGCTGCGGAGGCCCCTGAGGGTCCTTCTGCAGAGGGAGGTGACCGGCTGTGGAGCCCCTGAGGGTCCTTCTGCAGAGGGAGGTGACCGGCTGCGGAGGCCCCTGAGGGTCCTTCTGCAGAGGGAGGTGACCGGCTGTGGAGCCCCTGGGGGTCCTTCTGCAGAGGGAGGTGACCGGCTTTGAAGCCCCTGGGGGTCCTTCTGCAGAGGGAGGTGACCGGCTGTGGAGCCCCTGGGGGTCCTTCTGCAGAGAGAGGTGACCGGCTGTGGAGCCCCTGGGGGTCCTTCTGCAGAGGGAGGTGACCGGCTGTGGAGCCCCTGGGGGTCCTTCTGCAGAGGGAGGTGACCGGCTGTGGAGCCCCTGGGGGTCCTTCTGCAGAGGGAGGTGACCGGCTGTGGAGGCCCCACCACCTGGGAGACCGGGGATTGTGCAGGGCAAGGCCCCTGCGGCTGCAGTGTGAGGGCTGAGGATGCCCTGGACGCACCTAAGCTCCCAGGGGTTTCTGACTTCCACCTGCTTCTCCTGGATTCCTGAGCCACGTGGAAGACCACTGCCCTGTGGGCACTTCCCACTTGCTTCTACTGCACTCGTGGGGTCACAGTTCCTGGAAGCCAGGCCTGCTTTCAGCCCAGCCTGGGCCCCTCTGGGGCAGACCCCGGTCCCGATGCTGGGGACGTGGCCTGGAGACCTTCGCAGGTGACGCCTGTCAGACCTGATGTTCAGATCTCCCTGGGCTGAAAGTCCCCCTATAATGATTGATTTGTGTTTTTCTTTTTCACTTTGCCAATTTTTCACTTGTCATATCTTGAGGCTATCTCATTAGATGCATAGAAATGTAGAATTACTCAATTTCTCTGGTAGACTTGCTCCGTTGTCTCAATGAACATTTATTTTTGACCATGTTTCTTACTCCAGGATATACTTTGCACACACACACACACACACCAAACCACACCCCCACACTCCACACCCAACACACACCAAACCACACCCCCACACTACACACCCAACACACACACACCAAACCACACCCCCACACTCCACACCCAACACACACCAAACCACACCCCCACACTACACACCCAACACACACACACCAAACCACACCCCCACACTACACACCCAACACACACACACCAAAACACACCCCCACACTACACACCCAACACACACACACCAAACCACACCCCCACACTACACACCCAACACACCAAACCACACCCCCACACTACACACCCAACACACACCAAACCACACCCCCACACTACACACCCAACACACACACACCAAACCACACCCCCACACTACACACCCAACACACCAAACCACACCCCCACACTACACACCCAACACACACACACCAAACCACACCCCCACACTACACACCCAACACACACCAAACCACACCCCCACACTACACACCCAACACACACACACCAAACCACACCCCCACACTACACACCCAACACACCAAACCACACCCCCACACTACACACCCAACACACACCAAACCACACCCTACACACCCAACACACACCAAACCACACCCCCACACTACACACGCAACACACCAAACCACACCCCCACACTACACACCCAGCACCCCCATAGCCACACTCCACACACACCCCACACCACACACCCAACACCCACATACACACACTCCACACACCCCCACCCCCTCACACACTACACACCCAACACCCACATATGCACACTCCACACCCCTCACACCCCCACTACACACCCACATATACACTCCACACACCCCCACTACACACCCAACACCCACATATGCACACTCCACACACCCCCTCACACCTCCACACTATACACCCAACCCAGCCACACACACTCCACACACACCCACACTATACACCCCCACACTACACACCCACATGCACACACTCCACACTCCACCCACACCCCCACACTGCACACACTCAGCACACCCACATACACACACTCCACACACACCCAAACCCACACCAGCCTCTGGGTGCCTCGACCTCTCCAGCCCTCACGTTCGGGGAGCGTCTCTTGTAAGCGGCACATGGTTTAGCCATATCCCATTGACAATGTCTGTCCTTCAATGGATGTATCTACCCTCGTCATACTTACAGCACCTGTAGATGTATCGGGACCTAAATCTACTGTTTATTCCCTAGTTTCTATTCATCCCACGTGTTCTGCATTCCTTTTTCTCTCATGTTTTGCCTTCTTTTGGATCTACTCTGTGTGTTTTAAACGTCCTGTGTGTGTGCCGTCCTGCCTGCCCTCCTGCCTCTCCACCAGTGTTAGCTCTGCATTCCTCTCCAACCTCACCGTCCAATATAGTGAGAACTACCACCACTCCCCAGGGCGCTGAGACCACGGGAACCTCTAATTGCACTGACGATGGGACACCATGCTGTGCAGCCTGTGCCGGTTCCTGCGGGAGCCTCTGACCCCACTGTTCCTGGGATGCCATGCGGGGCAGCCCACGCGGGTTCCCGAGGGAGCCTCTGACCCCACTGTTCCTGGGATGCCATGCGGGGCAGCCCACACAGGTTCCTGAGGGAGCCTCTGACCCCACTGTTCCTGGGATGCCATGCGGGGCAGCCCACACGGGTTCCCGCGGGAGCCTCTGACCCCACTGTTCCTGGGATGCCATGTGGGGCAGCCCACGCTGGTTCCCGAGGGAGCCTCTGACCTCCCTGTCGCTGGGACGCCGGTTCCTGCCAGCGTTGTCTCTCCCCATCTCTGCACTCCTTTCCCTTGGCCTTGTCTTCCCCCTGAAATACCCTCCACTGCCGACACAGCTCGGGTCTGGAGTGGCTGGCCTGCATGTCATCCTCGTTCTGAAGGCCACGGGAGTACCACTGGCTGTCGGAGTCTACACTGGCAATTGACTTTCTTGGATATTTTGGAAACCATTTATGGTCTTCTGGCTTCTCCCGTTTTGTTGAGAAATCTCGTCACTCTAATTGTTGATCCTTCGAATGAGGGGAATGCTCTGAGCCTTCCTTGGCTTTGGAAGAGCATCAGCCATTCCGCCTGCAAACACTGTTCCCTCTAGAGCCCTCGGAGCCCTCGTTCTGGCTCCCAGGGACAAGCAATCCCACGTCGACCAAAACCTATACACAGGTCTCAATCTCCAACTGTTCCGCCTTCAGCCCCAGGTTCATCCTGACACCTCTGAGCTTCCCAGCTCTCTGCTGCCATCTCCAGACTTCCTGTGGCTTTTGAATGTGTGACCTTCAGAGTTCAAGGTGGGTCCGATGACCCCATGAGCTGGGCCTCCTGGTCTGGTGTGTCACTGGCCTCTTCTCCTGGTTTCTGGTCATCTGTGCATCATTCACTCCTTCCTGGGCGTCGTGTGTGACGCTGAGAGATCCAAGGCTGGCATGGGCACATCTTCCATCTTCCCGCTTGCTTTCTGCCTGCCTTTGCCTCCACAGGCCTTAAGGATGTCCCGGCCCAGACTCGGCCTCTGCCTGCCTGGTCCCTTCCCACCCCAGAGTGCAGCCCCAGCAAGAGCAGGTATGGCGGCCTCCTCTGCAGAGGACCCTGGCAGCGAGAGGGGACCCTGGCGGCGAGCGGGGACCGTGGCGGCGAGAGGGGACCCTGGCGGCGAGAGGGGACCGTGGCGGCGAGAGGGGACCCTGGCGGCGAGAGGGGACCCTGGCGGCGAGAGGGGACCGTGGTGGCGAGAGGGAACCCTGGCGGTGAGAGGGGACCCTGGCGGCGAGAGGGGACCGTGGCGGCGAGAGGGGACCCTGGTGGTGAAAGGCGCCCGAGGCTAGCCTGGCTCTCTGGGCTTCTGCTCTGCCAGCCCCCAGACATCCTCAAACAGTGGTTTTCTCACATTTTATCCAGCTGTTCTCAGTGGTCTTGGCAGGACATCCAAGCAGCCCTGCCACCCTCAATGGAGGTGGGGCTCAGGGGGGAATTCTTGTCCTTTGGGGGAGCAGGGGTGCTGGGCTCACCCTCCAGACGGCCTGTCGGGCAACGCCTCCTTCCCACATGAAACCCTGGAGAGTTTCTCGACAGAGGGTCCTCCAGTGCCGACCCCCGGCCCCGTGGAGGGGAGGGGGCATCTCAGGACACTGAAGCTGCTGTGTCTCTGCGCAGTGCCCACCTGGGTCTAGCATGGAAGGGCAGCCATCTGCTCCTCAGGAGGTGATGGGGCTATCTTGCTGGGCTTGTGCCCTGCAGCCACCCTCGCCCCCAAATCCAGGTCCTATGAGGCCCCCATCAACCCAGAAGGGGCTTCCTTCCTCCCGCAGGGTGAGGTGGTCACCACCCAGTGAGGGTCCAGGACCTGCTTGTGGTGGCGGCTCTAGGTGTGACCACACTTCAGTGCTGGCCACGCCATGGCTCTCCTGCCTGGGATGTCCAGAGTTGCTCACCTGGTGGTCCGGGGGGGCCCACTTCTCCTTTGGCGCCCTTGGGTCCTGGAGGGCCCTGATTCCCTGGAGGAAGAGAGACCCAGTGCCCATCAGGAATGTGCCAGGGAGGACTCCAGGGTGGTGCCCCTCCTGCCCGAAATGCCCTAGTGCCTGGGGGCCTGGATGGGGGGGCATCAGATGGACATGGGGACAGTCAGGGTAGGAGCTGCTGGAGAGCAGGGGCGCCCTGGGTCCCCGTCAGCAGGCCATGTGGGGGCCAGGCCACACCTGCAGGGCACGTGCTGACCAACAGGAGGGACGGGGCTGCTTCCACCCTGCTTTGGCCAGAGAAGCAAAATCTCAACGGAGAACAGCAAATGGGGGCCACCCCAAGGTCAGGTCCTGGACGGCTGTGCTGGGAGGGCCCGCAGGAAGGGCCAAGGTCATCGGAACTGGGGCGTGGGCTGGGCGTGTAGCACTGGCCTTGGG
The DNA here is from genome assembly GCF_000001405.40 of Homo sapiens. Taxonomy (NCBI): domain Eukaryota; kingdom Metazoa; phylum Chordata; class Mammalia; order Primates; family Hominidae; genus Homo; species Homo sapiens. Next base: position 45,497,193 of record NC_000021.9, on the reverse strand, counting down.
CCACTGGGGGAGTCTCACTGCTGCTGGCACGGGAAGGAAGGTGGGGCTCTGGAGCATCCCTTCAGAGCCTGTGTCCCCAGCTGTGAGCCCAGGACCCTCACCTGGCAATCCTGGAGGCCCGGGGCGGCTGGACTCAGCAAACACCTGCAAGGAACGGGGAGAGGCGGCTGCTGAGGGCGATGTTCTGAAATGGAGGCCACCACCACTCAGGGGTCCCCAAGCCCAGAAGCACCAGCCCCTGTATGAGGCCACATAGCAGCCTCCCCCAGTCAGAGACGGGAGGGAACAGGGGTACGGAGAGCAGGAGCCACGGCCTGACGCCACTTGGCCCTCATTGGTCACTTCACCTTGCTGAGCCTGGGAAAATGGGGGTGCCCCTAGCAACCCTGGGCTCAGGCCCTTAGCAGAGCCAGCTGGAAGCAGCTCCACACCCAGAGAGCCCTCCCTTTCCCAGGCCTTCACCTTCCGTGGGAACTCAGCTGCTAATCCACTGCCCACCAGACTGGCACATCCTAGAAGGACCCCCAGACGCAGAGGCCAGGGGAGAAGAAGGCCCAGCCCCTCTGTGGGGCTCTGTGTGACAGCCAAGGGTGGCTGTAGGACAGTGGGTGCCCTGGGGACTTACATTGCTGTCGTAAACAGGAGTCCCTGGAGGGCCTGGGGGCCCTGGAGGTCCTGGGGGGCCGGGCATTCCCTGTGGGGAGGGCAGAGAGCTGTTAGGCTTATGGCCTGCCTGTCAGGCAGCAGCTGGGAGCAGAGACAGTTCAGAAAAATCAGAAAAATCAGAAACCTGACCAGGCAGACCTCTGACCAGGCAAAACCGAGAATGCAGTGGGTCACTCGGGCCACGGCTCCCTGAGGACAGGAACTGGCCCCGGCCCCACCTCATCCCACGCTGGAGTCGTGCACAGACGTCCCTCGGGAGGAGTGAAGAGGCCACCGGGTCTGCGTCTCAGGTAAAAAGGTGACTGAAAATGCCCCACCCTGCTGACATCAGGGAGACAAAGCTCTTGGCTCAAAAGACAGCAGAGTGGACACCTTTGGGCTGAGCGGGAGAACCCCCAGCATGGAGGGCTTGGAGGGCATGGAGGGCATGGAGGGCATAGAGGGCATGGAGGGCATGGCCCAGGCCCATGGATGCCCTGCTGAGAATCCACAGGGGCCTGTTGTATGTGTGTATATGGGTGCACATGTGTGCATATATGTGTATTGGTGTGTATGCATGTGTATATGTATGTGTGCATGAGTATACATGTGCAGTGTGTATGCCCATCATGGAATGGGCCAGGGAGGGCTCATAGTCATGTATGTGGATACACATGTGGATACGTGCACATGTATGAGTGTATGTATATACCTGTATGGGTGTGCACGTGGACAGGCTCGTATATGCATGAATACATGTGTATATGTGCACCTATGTGGAGTGTATGGGCATGTGTACACACATGAGCACGTGTGGATGTGTGTGTGCGTGTATGTGTGCGCGTGTGTATGGGCATGTATGTGCATAGATGCATGTGTATATGTGCACACATGTATGAGTACGGCCATATATGTGCATGCATGTTTGGGCACACGTGTGCGTGTGTGGACATGTATGACTGTGCATGGGTATGGCATGACCAGTGCTGTGTGGCCACATGGCAGGGCTGCTTATAAGTGGCCTCTGGGAGGAGCTGCAGGACCCCAGGCTGTGGCCAGGCCATTCCCAGGTCCTGGTCTCCCAGCCACCCAGTCCGCCCCTTGAGAGACACTCACCCTCATGCCAAATCCAAGGCTGGCATCTCCCGGCTCCCCTTTCTCTCCTTTCAATCCGTTCATCCCGGGGCGACCCTGGGGCGGAGCACAGGGGGTGGGGACTGCTGGGCACTGATGATTACCAGACACCTTCCCGCAGGGTGCCTGCCGTTAGCCCCACGCCAGGCCCGGCCGGCCCACGCTCAGCCTCACACGTTCCCAGCTCTCAGGCTACCCCGGCCCTTCTCACCCCTTTCCTGCACAAGGACCCTTTTGGGAGGAGGTGACTGAGCCTAGCACACACAGGCCCACTGCCCTGTCTGCCTCCAGGGCTTCCTCCTGGGTACTGGCCCCTCGTGGGGTACTGCCAGCCACATCCAGGACAAGAGCTGCGCTCAGGCAGGGCCGGTTCTTGGGGGAGGACAGTGGGTGCGGCGGCCGTCCACTCCCCTCTGGGCATGTCACCCCCGTGGGCCTGGGCTGCTCCCCACCTGCCAGACCCCATCTGCCGCCCCCACTGGAGACCCCAGGTCCTCACCGGCCGTCCAGGAAAGCCAATCTCTCCCTTGTACCCCGGCCGTCCGTATGGACCCTGCAAGAGGAAGGGGGCCAGGCTTAGTGGGGCAGACCCTGGCCCTTGACCACGAGTTGGGGGGTCCTGGGGAAGGGGAGGGGCCATGCAGAGCACAGCACCCTGGGCCACCCATCAGCTCGGAGGAGCCCACTGCAGCCTCACGCCGACACCTGCCCCACACGCTTTAAAACTGCACTAGGGAGATGAGCCCTGGGCCGCACAGCACAAGCTCAGCAGCCGCGGGCGACCGTGTCCTTGGGGGCCGTCATGCCCGAGCTCAGTGCAGAGAAAGCCAGGGACCGACTTACCGGGGGTCCTCGGAAGCCCGGCTCTCCCTGAGCAAAAAAACAAGAAGACAGGGTTAGGTGGCAGCTTGTGCCCCACCTGGCAGCCTCTCTGAGGGCCCCTGTGGCGAAGGCACGGTTAGGTGGCGGCTTGTGCCCCACCTGATAGCCTCCCTAAGGGCCGCTGTGGTCCCTTTGGGTGCACTGGGCCGTCCCCAAGGCGCAGGCAGCCCTGGGGAGGACAGGAGCCACTGGTGAGGGGAGGGTCGGGTTTGGGGTTTGCGTCCAGGTTGGTGCGTGCATGCATGCCCCGGGACCCTGAAGCAGGGGTGGAGGGTGGAGGGTGGAGGGCATGTGCCACGCAGTGTCCTGGTTGCCACAGGCCCCAGCTCCAATGCACAGCTGGGTGGGATAGTGGAGCTCTCACTGGGCCTGGGGATCCTGTGTCTGAGGCCCACCCCAAACACCCCGGAGGGCTCACTGCTCCCTCTGAAAGTGGGAGAGCCGGTGGCCCACACTCCAAAGATCCAGGCTTCTCCCCAGGACCCTCCCCGAGGGCTTTTCTGGGCGGCTGCCTGCTGGGGGTGGGGACGCAGGCACAGGCCCCTTGAGGAACTGACTCCGGGCCCTGCCCACAGCATCAGGGCCCCCAGGAAGAGGCTGGAGGGGCAGCCAGAAACCTGCTGAGGCTGAGCTGGTACAGCCTGGGCTCCTGCACCCCACAGGCCAGGCCCCAGGGAGGCGCGAGCTCAGAGCTGCAGCCCACTGAGAACCTCCCCTCAGCAGGGTGGGCTCAGGGGTAGGGAGAGGACGAGGGGCAGGGAGAGGACGAGGGGCCGGCGGAACCGCCGACATGGGTGCGAGAAAGGAGGGGCCACCAGGGCCAGGCCTGGATGGTAGAGCCCTGCTTGGGAGAGGCTCGTGCATCAGGAGCCAGACCCTCAGGAAGACCCTCCCCAGGCTGTCTCCACAGCCCCAGGAGCCCCCACGCCTGCCGGAAGGAGGCTGCCCGGCCCTCACCTTGGCTCCTTTCTGGGCAGGGCCCAGGGCACCGCCGTCGGGGCTGAAGATGCTGCCCGGTTCACCCTTCTCACCCTGGAATGGCAGGAGGTCCAGCAGAGTCAGGGCCAGCTCCTTCCCCACAAAGCCTCACCCAGAGCCCCGAAGGCAGGGCCGCTGTGACTGGGCCTCGCAGGCTGGGTCCTTTCACGGGAGGTGACCACAGGGACGGCCCGAGCAGGGATGTACCCCTCACGTGTCACAGCAGCAGCCGGGGGGTCCCAGGTCCCTCCCAACAGTGGTCATCTGGGCAGGCTGGAGCCACCCCTGGGTCACAAAGGGGGTTGAGGGACAGCACCTGAGCCCCTTACCTTGGGTCCCGGGGAGCCTCGTTCGCCCTTAGAGCCCAGGTTGCCCTTGGGTCCTGCAGGTCCCTGGAATGGAGGCCAGGCCGTGAGGCCCGAGCGGCTGGCATCTCCCCCATCCCCGACGGCTGCTCCATCTCCCCCGACAGCTGCCCCCCGCAATATGCCTGCCTCGACAGCCCGACCAGGGCCCCTCGCGGCCCCAGCCTCACTCTGGACACTGCAGGCCTCCGCAGGTGACCCCCACCAGGACACCTCCCGGCCCCAGCCTCACTCTGGACACTGCAGGCCTCTGCAGGTGCAAGGAGCTGCCTCACCCTCACGGGTGCCCACCCAGCACAGGGCCTGCCAGCGGCTCTCGCCCACATCCCACTCCCATCATTTCCTTGGGGGCAGTGACTGTCGCTATCCCTCGGGCCTGACAAGGCCCACCCCAGCTCGACCGGGCTGCTCTGTGCTACCAGGTGGAGACCCCTCCCCAGCCGGGCAGCATGCAGCTCTGGCACCAGGTTACTCACGGGAAAGCCTGCGAAACCCGGCCGGCCCTGGGGAAAGAGGGACGGCGTCAGCTGGGGTCATCACGCACCCTCGCGCCTGCCCGGACCCCACCCAGCCTTGTACCCAGGTCCCCGCAGGCCCGTCTCTTAGAAGCTGGGCAGGCACATACCTCAGGTCCCGGCACGCTCAGGACGGATCCCTGTCCACGAGCAAAAGGAAAAATCGGAAACAAAGAGCCGCGTTTAAAATTCAACTGGACTCGAGCGACTTACAGATCAACAAAACACCAAACCAGGAAATTCAAGGAAAATGTTGCTTTCCAGTCTTCCTGGGCCTGGGGCATCCCTCCTGCAGCACAGACGCCCCTCAGCTCAGAGCAGCTGGATGCAGACTCCAGACGCCCTAAGGGCCATGGTTTTTACTTCCATTTTGTTTTAAAATGCTCCTGCCTCTGCTAGACGCTCCCTTGCTTGCCGGCGGAGGTGGCTCGGCCTACGGGAGGCTTTTCTGATGTTCTGATGTCTTGACCGTCACGCCGAGGTCCCTGTGGCCTCTCGGGCTGCCCCTGCCTCCCGATGCCTGTCTGCCTGCTCCTAGCAAAGCCGTGCTGGGGCAAGCCCTCTCCTGCCTGTTCCCAACTCCACCCCTCCTCTCAAGACTGTTAGAGTCCCACCTCCTAGGTGGGGAGCTGGAGCACAAGGGTTAGGTAACTTGTCCAGTGTCACACAGCTGACGGTGCCTGCTCTCAGCTCTGCCCCGGGCAGCCCCCCTTCCACTGGTGGCCACAGAGAACTCTGCAGGGATCTGAACCCCTGGCCACACCCAGCTCTGCTGCCCTGGGCCCTGCATCTGCCCAGGGCTCAGCTCCCTGCCCAGAGTGGGGCTTGGTCCCTGTGTTCCATGTGGCTGGGCGGAGATGCGTCTGCCTCTGTGAGGCCAGGGTGGCACAGGGACCAGTGGGATGCACTGCTGGCAGGCGCAGAGGGTGCAGCTGAGAGGCCTGATGGACGGGCCGCAGTGGGGGAGGAAGGTTCCGGAACCAACACAACCTTCACCAGAGGGGCCAAGGGTGCATCTGCTTCTTCTGACGGGGCAGCTGGGTGACTACATGCAGCTTTGGGGCCACAGTGTCAAGGACACAGGGAGTGAGCCCAATGGGAGCCTTTGACGTAAAAACACTGGCCCCTGTGCAGGCCCTCCCCTCTCCTCGGTGTCTCCAACACCACATGGAGCTGGGCTCCCCAGGCGTCTCTGACCGAGGGCGTCTGCAGCCCCCACCGAGGAGGTGGAGTGTAGACTGGCAGTCAGGGCCTGTCCTGACCTGGGGGATGTGGGGGTGTGGGGGGGGCTCGGGGAGGGATCTCTGCACCCCGTGGGGGGTCTGGACAGATTGGGTGCCCACCCACGCAGCGTCCTTACGTCCTGCTCCGACACGTAGACCACAGGTCCCGGGGGTCCGGGGGGGCCAGGGAGGCCCGGCTGCCCGACTCCGTCCTTCCCTGGATCTCCCTGGAAGAGGAGGCCACGCGTCCGGCATTTCATCTCAACCGCTCTGGCCAGGACCCCAGAGTCCACCCAGCCCTGGAGGGGGTGCCCAGAGCCCACGGTGGGTGAGGAGGCGCCCGGGGCTGTGGACTGTGGCCTTGGAGCCCCCTGCCAGGCAGGGCAGGCTCCAACAGGGACGGTTGAGCCACACACGCTGCCCCCAGCCTGAAAGCCACCCCTGTCAACTTGAGGGTCTTTGCCCTGAGTCTCTGAGGTCACATGGGCAGCAGGGGCACGGACCTGGGGCAGCTGAGGCCAAACCTTCTGGGATGTCCCAGCGCCCCCCATCCCCATCCACCCGCCCCAGGGACACTCACCTTTTCTCCCCGGCTGCCTCTGTCTCCCTTTGGCCCCTGGAGAGACAGGAAGGAAATGGTTCATCACCAACAGAAACAGGAGCCCCTGGCCCCCCGTGAGGGATGGCTCTGATGAAGATGTGGGGTTCTTTATTTCCCGACCGGCTGGGGCCTGGGAGGGAGGCAGCCACCAAGAGCCCTGACGGAGACTTATACTTAACTCCTGGCGCTCCGGGAGTGGGCACACGGAGGCCCAGAGACCTGGGAGGGCACACGAAGGCCCAGGGACCCGGGAGGGCACACGGAGGCCCAGGGACCTGAGAGGGCACACGGAGACCCAGGAGGGCACACGGAGGCCCAGAGACCCGGGAGTGGGCACACGGAGGCCCAGAGACCCGGGAGGGCACACGGAGGCCCAGGGACCCACGAGGGCACATGGAGACCCAGGGACCCGGGAGGGCACATCTCGTGCCAGCTTTCATCTTAGCATAGTCCCTTCAGGGCTCCACGCCCCCCCTGCACCCTGGGCCCACCAAGGCAACTCACCTGGGGCCCAGCAATGCCCTCTCTGCCAGGGAGGCCGGGGAACCCGGGGACTCCATCTGCTCCAACTTCTCCCTGAAAGGGTCACATGGAGGACGCAGGGCATTGGCCACACGCCCAGGAATGCAGGGACCCCCACGAGGAGTCCGGGGCACCCGTGGACGTGGCGATGGCCTGGACTTCTCTCTCTCACCCCTGTGGGCCTGAGCAGGGGCTGTGGAGGGATGGAGGAGTGGGGGAGGGGGGAGTCAGGGGGAGGGGGGAGTCGGGGGGAGGGGGGAGTCGGGGGGAGTGGGGGAGGAGGTGTGGGGGACGGGGAAGTGGGGGAGGGTGTGGGGGAGGAGGTGTGGGGGACGGGGAAGTGGGGGAGGGTGTGGGGGAGGAGGTGTGGGGCAGGGGGAAGTGGGGGAGGGGGAAGTCGGGGAGGAGGTGTGGGGCAGGTGGAAGTGGGGGAGGGGGAAGTCGGGGAGGAGGTGTGGGGGAGGGGCAAGTGGGGGAGGCAGTGTGGGGGAGGGGGAAGTCGGGGAAAAGGAGGGAGAGGCGGGAGGCCGGTGGCAGGGGCCGACGGGGCCTGCACAGCCAGACAGCCGGGAGGGAGGAAGGCCATGTTCCTGACGCAGTCAAACCTGGGGGTGCCCTGGGGTTGGGTGCCCTGCAGGTGGGTATCCTGGGGGTTGCCTTTGAAACCAGCACGTCTTCAATTATAAAGAAACAAAGCAGTGGCAGGAAGAGCGGGGAAGGCCGCCCCGAGCTGATCTCCGCAGGTGTCCGGCTGGGCCCTCCCTGCCTCTGCCTGGCCACGTCCCTGAACCCGGGCACAGCGCTTACCTTCGCCCCCGGCAGCCCAGGCACGCCAGGATCCCCCTAAGTGAAAAAAGGGGCTCCGTGAGCACCTGCTGGGGCCAGCCCAGTCCTCAGGCAGCGTCCACCCCGGGTGAAGGGAAGGGTGAGTTACCCAGGATGCATCTCACCGCCCTCCCCCAGCCCAGAGCCGAGGGGTCCCAGGGACACTGAGCAACTTGTGCAGGGACCCCGTGGGCCCAGGCTGGCTGAAGGCACCCGGCCGGGACGGCTGCGGAACCTGGGGACATATTCCATCACTAGGACTGCAGACTGCAAGAGGAACCCCGCTGAGACGGCCTCATTCAAACAATTTAAGAAAGCAAACACACGGCCCTTCCCATAAGTCAGCCTTTTGAGTGTCCCGATGTCTTGCAAATGAAAGCAAAGCTCAAAGGAGCAGGTGCCATGGCAGGGGCTGGTGACGCGTGAGAGTGCAGCCCCAGGGTGGGCCCCGTGCGCCCTTGGCCCCGCACGCAGCAGAGGACGCTTTGATGAGCACGCAGCGGGGTGAAAGGCGGCTGCTGCCCAGGGCCTAGGAGAGGAGGCTCCAGGCTCCCTGCTCAGGCACCTGCCCTGGGAGCTTCGGGGCCTGGGTGGGGTGGGGTCTTCGGGGCCAGGCTGGGGGCTAGTGTCCCCCAGGGATGGGGGGAGCAGAGGACAAAGCTCCTGGGTCCTACAAGGTCACCACGGCTCTGTCCCTGAGCCCAGGAGTCCACCTGTCCCTGAGGCTGAGGTGGGGACCCTGAGTTCTTCCCCTATGCCCCTCTTTTCGGCCCAAGTCTGAGAATATGCTTCAGGTGTGTGAACCCAGGAATCTTGATTCCTGGGCTTCGGAGAGAGAACGGGACAATGGCCCCTTAACGCTGGAAGTCTAGGTTGGGGTTGGTGTGCGATTATTTCCCTGTCAGGCTTTTTTGCTGTATTTTGCAAACTTCCCAGGATGAATTCATCCTACTCCTGCCATCAGAAAACCCGAGGCAAGGCCCTGTCTCCCCCAGCCCCAAGATGTCGAGACAGGGCCAAGCCAGCAACCACAGAAACCCAGACATATCCGTCACTGACCTTAAGTCCCGGCAGGCCGGGAGGTCCCTGTCAGGGCAGAGGAGACACAGTGTTAGTGCAGCTGGAGGCCCTGCTGTGAGATGCGTCTGCCGCAAGAAAAGCCCGCTAGTAACAGTCAAGACTTCAAAATACGTGTGTAAAAGGAAATGTACTAAGTTAAAATGGTAAAGCCATTCTAACTTACTATGGAATCAATTAGTTTCTGCCTAATTGAAATTTCTCATTCGTTTTGCTCCAAGTAAGAAATGTGTCCCAGCCACCCGTGCTCTCAACAGGCTGAGTCTCTGAGCATGAAGCTGGACGCTGTGGCTTCAGCCACCCCACGTGTCTCTTGGGCAGGGCTGTGGCCCCGGGGGCTCCTCCATGCTGGCGCCACGAGAGCGCTGGTGGTGTGGAGGGGACAGTGGGGGCAGGGGAGGAAGGAGCTTGTGGCCCCTGGGTCTGCCCCTGGCACGTCTGAGCTGTCTGAGCACAGTTGTTTTGGGATTTTGGTCACTCCTTGCTGGCTCTAACCCTGAGCAGTATACATGTTAACAGTAGAAGAAAGTGGAGATTTCATAGGAATTTCAGATTCTACTCAGGCCAAACATTTGTTACTACCAAAAATTGGGGCCACAAAAAGAATGTGATGACTTGAATTTCCCCAGAAAGGCCTTTCAGGGGGCATGCGGCCCCGTGTTCCTTTGTCTTGACCACTCACAGTGTCTCCCACTTTGCAGACCAGGCCCTCACCCCGTGACTTTAGTTCAATGAAGGGGCATCTCCGAAGAACAAGGGTGGCCCGCGGGGCACAGCGCCCGCCACACGTGGTCCTCACGGCTCTGCAGGGCGGCTTCCGATCCCATGCAAGGCCGGTGGCTCTCAGGGACACTCTCCTGCCCCAGGCAACACCCCCTTACCCCTCAGAGCCGGCCACGCCCAGCTCACAACACTACCTGTGGCCCATCAGCGCTTCGGGCTGTTGACCAGAAGGGCCCCCCGGAGCCTTCCATGTCATCCTGGAAGAGACACACGAGACACGTAGGGGCCTGTGTCCCTTCTTAGGGAAGGACCCCTCCCTGGGGTGGCACTGCCCGAGAGGAGGGTGGGACATGCTTTGGGGCCACGGTGGCCTGGGGAGCCGCCGTTCTCAGATGGGGACTGTCTACCTGGTGGCAGGGCCTGGGTGGAGCCCCCCCGGGGCAGCCCGTCTCGGGTCAGCTCATTCGCTCTTGGTCAGGGCACGGGTGCTGGGGCATGGCTGGGCCAAGATCCCCATCAGCACCGTGGGGCACGGGCGACGGGCGAGAGACTCGAGCCCCACCATGCGGAATATGGAATCCCAGGATGAGGCAGTGCCAGCAAGGCCACCGCCCAGGACGTGCTGCTCTGTGAGTGAGATGCCAGGGGTAGTAGGGCTGGGGCAACGGCAGCCCCCGGCTCTCCAGGGGGTCAGGTGTAGGCGGTACTCACAAATCCAGCGGGGAGTCCTGGTCCTGGGGGCCCAGGGGGCCCAGGGGGGCCTGGTGGTCCAGCAGGTCCGGGGGCTCCTGCCAGGCCGCTCTCCCCACGAGCACCAGCAGGACCGGGGGCTCCCTTGCTCCCCTGCGTGGGGTGAGGAGAGCGTGTCAGGACCCAGCCCAGCCCCCGCTGGCCCTGCAACCCCAGCGTAGACACGTTTTCTTATGATGCTTTCTAAACCCTGCAAATCAAAAGGTAAGGAACATTCTGCCAAGCAACGCAGGCCCCACAGCAGCCTTTCTTCTAACTTTACGACACGATTTCAGCCACACAGAAACACAACTGAGGAGAGAGCCACGGAGCCCGAACTTGGTCGGGGTTGGGCCCACATGCACAGGGGGAGGCCCACATGCACAGCGGGAGGTGCACAGGGCACCCTCGTTACCTCCAGCCCTGGCTCCCGGGCAGGCAAGGGGAGAAGAGAGGAGAGAGGAGAGGAGGCTCAGGACCCTGGGACCAGCCCTGGCTCCCGGGCAGGCGAGGGGAAAAGAGAGGAGAGAGGAGAGGAGGCTCAGGACCCTGGGACCAGCCCTGGCTCCCGGGCAGGCGAGGGGAGAAGAGAGGAGAGAGGAGAGGAGGCTCAGGACCCTGGGACCAGCCCTGGCTCCCCGGCAGGCGAGGGGAGAAGAGAGGAGAGAGGAGAGGAGGCTCAGGACCCTGGGACCAGCCCTGGCTCCCCGGCAGGCAAGGGGAGAAGAGAGGAGAGAGGAGAGGAGGCTCAGGACCCTGGGACCACTGGGGCTAGGGTAGACACAGGCATTGCGGTGACTCTATTAGTCCGAAAGCCGTGAGAAGCAGGCGAGCCCGGAGGCATGTGCTGGAGCCATCGGTGACCCAAGGCCCCAGCCACCTGGAGTGTGAGGTGAGAGCCCGGTGTGGGGGGCGTGAGGGAGGGAGGCCCTGAGGCAGGGGTCCCGCTGTGACGTGGCCCAGCTGAACCACCCCTCTCCTCGCAGCCACAAGCTCCCTGAGCCTCGGTTTCCGTGGCTGTAGACGGAGAGGCCCAGGGTTCCTTCCCAGGCTCGGGACAGAGCGGAATGAGATAGTGTGAGCCCAGCACTGTCCACAAATGGGGCAGGAATGTGACCCGCTGCCTTGATATGGTCACAGGCCCAGCTGGAGGAAGGAAACCCCCTCTGTGGGGAAGGGTCCTTCCTGCTTCCCATGTCCCCCACAGGGGCTGGGCCTCCAAGCCAGAGCTTTCCCCGCCCTCCACCCGCCAAGGTGATCCTCGACTGCCTCCTGTCTCCTCCCTTCTAGGTCTGGGTCTCCACTGCAGCCACCCTCCAACAGCTACGCTGGGTCTTAACAGGTGGGCACCATGTACCACCCACTTAACTTGAGGGCTAACTTCATGAGAATCTTAGATTTTACTTTCTTGGCTTTAATCTGTCTTAGTGCCTGGCATCCTTTTATCGTCTTTAAAAATCTAATTTTTTTTTCTTTTTGGACACAGGGTCTCGCTCTGTTGCCCAGGCTAGAGCACAGTGGCATGATTGTAGCTTACTATAGCCTTGAACTCCTGGACTCAAATAATCCTCCCACCTCAGCCTCCCAAAGTGCTGGGATTACAGGTGTGAGCCATCGTGTCCAGCCTCATCTAATTTTTGATCTTTAAAAAGTGCCTATAAAAAAGTTTGTTTAGGCCGAGTGTGGTGGCTCACGCCTGTAATCCCAGCACTTTGGGAGGCCGAGGCAGGTGGATCACCTGAGGGCAGGAGTTCGAGACCAGCCTGGCCATCATGACGAAACCCTGCCTCTACTAAAAAAAAAAAAAAAAAAAAAAAAAAAAAAATTAGCCAGGTGTGGTGGCAGATGCCTGTAGTCCCAGTTACTCGGGAGGCTGAGGCAGGAGACTCACTTGAAACCGGGAGGCAGAGATTGCAGTGAGCTGAGACTGCACCACTGCGGAGACTCTGTCTCCAAAAAAAGGTTTGTTGAAAACCTCTTTCTAATTTCATCCCTTTTTTCTTCATTTTCTATTTGGTTTACAATTAGGTTGTAGGGTTCTAGAATTCTCATTCATGTTACTTGACATTTTTGTTTTTTTAAAACTTTCATTATTTTCATACATGCATATCTAATTTTGCTGATTTTAAAGTTGATCAAAATATTCCTCCCCTGCTTAACTCAAAGCCTACATGTGTACGTGTATGCACACATACTAGAGACACAGATGTGCACACACACTACAAATACATGTGTGTGTACATATGCTAGAGAGATGTGTGTGCATGTGTGCTAGAAAAACGTGGGCACATACCTAGATACATGTGTGTGTATGTGCACATAAGAGATGCGTGTGCACATGCCCCAGATACATGTGTTGCACATATACACCAGATACATGTGTGCATGTATGCTAGAGATACACGTGCACATACATGAGAGCTGTGTGCACATGTGCTGGCTATGTGTATGTGCACATATGCTGGAGAGGTGCATGTGTGTGTGTGCACATATGCTGGAGAGGCGTGCATGTGTGTGCACACATGCTGGAGAGGTGTGTGTGTGCTCACATATGCTGGAGAGGTGTGTGTGTGTGTACACACATGCTGGAGATGTGTGTGTGCGTGTATGTGTGTGCGCACATATGCTGGAGATGTGTGTGTGCATGTGTGTGCATGTATGCTGGAGGTGTGTGTGTGCACATATGCTGGAGATGTGTGTGCCTATGTGTGTGTGTGCACATATGCTGGAGAGGTGTGTGTGCACATATGCTGGAGATGTGTGTGCCTATGTGTGTGTGCACATATGCTGGAGAGGTGTGTGCGCGTGTACATATGCTGGAGAGGTGTGTGTGTACATACGCTGGAGAGGTGTGTGTGCGTGTGCACATATGCTGGAGAGGTGTGTGTGTGTACATATGCTGGAGAAGTGTGTGTGTGTGTACATATGCTGGAGAGGTGTGTGTGTGCATGTGTACATATGCTGGAGAGGTGTGTGTGCATGTGTACATATGCTGGAGAGGTGTGTGTGTGCATGTGTACATATGCTGGAGAGGTGTGTGTGCATGTGTACATATGCTGGAGAGGTGTGTGTGTGCATGTGTACATATGCTGGAGAGGTGTGTGTGTGTATGTGCACATGCATTCACTCCCAGCCCATGTCCTCTCAGCCTCTCCAAGTGCTCTCACCACCTGACTCGCAGCTGTCCTCTTCCTCACTCCTCTCCCCACTGGCCTTCCTTCCCTCATCACCCCCATCCTGGAGCTTGGCCATGTTCTGGGGAAAGTTCCCCGTTAGTGCCAACCCCGTCCAGCCAAGGTGAGGAGCTCCTGACGTTTTGGACATGATTCGAGTGGGCGGCCCACGGAAGCCTGGATCCTCGAGGGCACCTCCGGGGGCGTCTGTGGTGGGGTCGGCACAGATGCCGACTGGAGGCCCAGACCCGGCTCCCAGCCCCTCCTCTGCAGGGTTCTAGCTCCTCCTCCAGCTCAATTTCCGCAGAACAGAAGGAGGAAGTGGGTCGTTGGGGGGGTGTCAGATAAATTGTCTGGTCAAGCAGGCTGTGGCCCAGACCTCAGGCTGCCCGAAGGAAGGCTGGGTCCATGGAGAGCAGCTGCCCCGAGTCCAGAGGGTCTGAGCAGACTCTGGGCCAGGCCAGGGCCGCCAAGGACACCCGGGCTGCCTTCAGCGCTCCTTCCGAGTGCCCCCAGATGCTCATGAGCCTGCGGGACGGGTGGATGGGGCTCCCCTATGGGGGGATGTTGGGGGGCCCAGCTCAGGGCCCTCCCCAGGCCACGGGCAGCCTCTCCACCTGCTGTGGCCCAGCCCCTCCTCCCAAAGCTCCTGGAGCTGCTTTATCGCGCTTGCCACACGGAGCTTGTTTCCAGATGAGCTCAGCTTCCAGGGCGCGTCTACTCTCAGTTCACCGGCAGACCAGAGCTCGGCGGAAGCCACATCACAAAAGTGACAAGGGCCGAAGCCACCTCGCCAGAGTGACAGAGGCTGCTGCCCGCGATTCCGGCAGGACGGATGGACAGATGGCAGGAGTGGGGGTCAAGGCCAGCCCCAAGAGAGCTCACTCTCTCGACCGTGGGGCTGCCACCCTCTTTGGGGGTCCGAGCACTGAGTGGGCACCAGGGGCAGGGGACTGATGTGCCAGGGATTCTGCTTGTACCTTATGTCCTGGGGCGCCTGCTTCACCCTGTACGGAAAAGAGCAGGATTATGACAAAATCAGACTTGCAGCACAGTGGACAGAGGAAGGCACATCGCCCTGCCAGGAACTGTGCCCCGACCCGGGTCCCTGCTTTGCTGCCTGTGCCGGTTTAATAGTTTCTGAGGCTGTTGCCGCTGTCATCCCCCCTTTCTGGTGTGGTTGGGGTCCTGAAAGGGAAGCCACAAGGGACGCCAAGCCTGGTCCCAATGCTGGACCTGGCTACACGTGGGGCCTGGGGCCTGGATGCCTCCCCAAGAAGGGCCCTTCAGCTCAGCCACAGGCTTAGAGCAGTGAGGGGCATTTACAGCCCGCGTCCCCTGCTCAGTCCAAAGCAGTGCAGCTCTCATCTGAGGTCATGCTGGAGACCGCTCCCCAGGGGGCCAGACGCAGGCGACTCCCGCCAGGTCCACCCACAAACGCCTGGGGCCCCGGCTCCTTGCGTCAGTCCGACAGAGGCTCATGGCCACTGCCCCGTAACCAACGTGGAAGCTTGGAGTAAGATCTCAGATCTCGCAGGGTGCCCATGTTCTTAAAACCCGTGAGTCCACTCATCATCACAGGGTTATGAATTTCTACCCAAGCCCCAGCCGCCCAGGTCAGGGTGACCTCCAGAGCGCGAGGCCCCAGGCTGTGGGGCTGTGATGGGGGGCTATTCCTGGCATTTCCCCTTCACGGGCGTCACCAGGCACCCCCGGACCCGGGCCACATGGTGTGGTGCTGGTTCCCACTCACCCTGGACTCGAGGGAAGACTTACCAGGCTGCCTTTCTGCCCAGTCCTTCCTGGGGGCCCCTCTCTTCCCGGAGGGCCTGGGGGTCCCTGGGGGAGAGCAGAGCATAGTGGGTCTTGATGGCATTCGGCCACTAAAACGATTTCTGGGTTAACAGGTTATCTGGGCTTCCGCAGGTTTCCAGAAGGCAGGACACAGAACGTTCCCCAGACACAGGGCCAGAGTCCCAGGGCTCACGGGAGACCCCACAGCCTGCGTAGCCCGCAGTTTCGCGGCCACATTGGCAGGATGAGATGGCAGAGCCGACAGCACCACGGCGGGAAGATGCTTGCACACCAGGGCTGGGGTAGCCGCTGCTCCCTCTGAGAGGCAGTCTGGCCACATGCGTGAATATGGATTAGGCATGTTCTTTAAGCCCAAATTCCCCTCAGAATGGATTCTGGGGAGCACTTGCCATGCGGCACCCAGAGAGGCCTCAGAGCCGATGGTGACGGTGAATGCCCATCGGTAGGGTTGGCTGGCTCAGGTAGGGACTGTTACGGAGGCAGGGGCATGTCATGGGTGACCTAACCCCACACTCCCTGCCCTGCACGTCATGGCATGCTACCGAGTGACCCCAGGCCACGGGATGCCAGTGCAGCATGACCCAATTACAGCAGCCACGTCTGCACCTGCTGCCAGTCATGACCTGCTGCCCATCATGTGTGGCACAGCTGGTGGGGCAGGCACCTGCTGCCAGTCATGACCTGCTGCCCGTCATGTGTGGCAGAGCTGGTGGGGAGCCTGCCGTGGGGACCTGAGACCCTACGAGCCGCGTTGGCCAAGCAGGCTCCTCCCTCCCCTGGCCCTCCAGCAATGCTGACCTCGGCCCTCCCACACCCACCCATGGGAATTGCTCATGGAGACGCTCTCTGTGCAGTCCGTGGACCCACAGGGCCAGAGAGGTCGGAGGCCTTGCTTGCGGTCACCCCCACTGGTCAGCACCCCTAGAACCATGGGGTGGCCACTCAGGTGCTTCCGCACACCCCAGGGTGGCCCCGAGTCAGCAACTGCCCGCCAGCTCCTAGAGGAGATGAGGTGAGGAGGCGGGGACTGGGGAGGCCTGAGGCGGGGCAGGGGCTCCCATGTGGGGTGTTCACCCCTCACTCCCAGCAGACAGGGCTCCCGACACTGACGGTGGAGGCAGGACTTACCGGGAGGCCAGGAAACCCGGGGGGACCCTCGCGCCCAGGCACACCAGGAAGGCCGGCGGGTCCTGGGACGTCGGAGCTGTTCACCCCAAAGCGGCCTGGCTCGCCGGGCAGGCCTGGGACACCGGGGGGTCCGGGAGGTCCAGGGAAGCCTCGAGGACCCTGGACGTGGGCGAACACAGATAGTCACAGCCCATGTGGCACCCACCAGGGATGACCACCACCCCCAGAACGGGCCTCATCCCCACCCCCCACAGGACCCCAGCTGAATCTTGGGGGTCCATGGCCTGTTCCTCATGGGCACAGACATCGGGCAGCGCTGCAGTTTAAGGGCCACTCACCCGCAGGGCCTCCAGATCGCCCCCGAAGCCAGATCCCTCCATGTCAATGAAGGTCTGAGGAAAAGAGCCGGAGAGACACGTTGCCCTGAGCTCGGCCCCCCGCCTGGCCTACTCCTGGCCCCTGCCCCGCAAGCTGCATATCGAGCTGTTTCTACAAGGAGCTGAGAAACCACGGCCCCTCTGCTGCCCCCAGAGAAGCCTGAAGGCAGGTGGATGGGGGCTCCCACCACACCTGTGACCCCTCAGCTCAGCCAAGACCCCACGCAAGCCCCTGAGGGTGGAGCTGATACTTCTGGGCCAGAGGCAGTGCCTGCTTTTGAGGAGGGCAGACCCCGGGTCGCAGGAAGCCAAGGGCGGGACTTACCAGCTTGTCGTGTCTGAAGGAGGGTCCTGGGGGCCCTGGAGGCCCTTGGGGTCCTGGGGGCCCTCTCTCTCCAACCCCAGGGTCTCCCTGGGAACACAAGACAAGCCTATCATACCCTGGGCACGCACACAGCCCCCACCTTGAGCCAAGGGCCAACACAGGAAGGGGCCCCACCCAGCCACGGAGACTCACCTTGTCGCCCTTGGGACCTACGTCCCCTGGAGTCCCGGGGAAGCCTTGTGGCCCGGTGTCGCCCTGGAACACAACATCCGGGGGCCCGGTCAGGGAAGGCACCACCATGGGCCGCACCCAGCACTCTCAGTGCTCCTCCCCCAAGCAGGGGACGGACGGGAGCTGAGCCCTTCAGGGGAGTCTCTGGGGCCCGGAAAGTACGAGGGCGCCAGGCCCAGCAGACTGTCTCCCGCCTGAGCCCATTTCGCCAGCCACGCCTGGGGGAAGCTGCGGGCAGCATCCCTCGGGAGGTCACAGCAGGTTCCCCGAAGGCCTCCACAACAGCTGGTGCTTGGGTGTTACATACATGTGTGTGTGTGTGTGGTATGCATGGTGTGTGTGTGAGGAGTGTGGTGTGTACATGTGTGATATGTATGTGTGATGTGTGAGTGTGCATGTATGGTGTGCATAATCCATGGTGTGCACATGTGTGCACACGTGGTATGTGTATGTGTGTATCCACGTGTGGTATGTGTAATGTGTGGTGTGTGTGCATGTGTCCACGTGTGATGTGTGCACGTGCGTGTAGCATGTGTGCATGCGTCCACCTGTGGTGTGTGTGCACACACGTGTGTGTAGTGTGTGTATGCAAGTGTATCCACGTGTGGTGTAATGTGTGGTGTGTGCACACATGTGTGTAATGTGTGTGCATGTGTCCACGTGTGGTGTGTAATGTGTGGTGTGTGATATGTGCTGTGTGTGCATGTGTGGTATGTGTACGTGTGGATCCTCACCCCCCCACACACACGCGCAGTCACACATTCACACACTCAAACACATGCACATACATACACACGTGTGTGTGCCCTGTGGGTGGGCCCCGTGGATCATCACCCCACACTCACACGCGTGCGTGTACCCTGTTGCAGTGGGTGGGCCCCGTGCCGCCCCCCAGCCGACTGTCCTTTGTCTGCCGTGGTCCTCATCGCAGGCAGCTTGGCTGTGGGGTGCCAGGCGGTCGGTAATGACCGTTCGGTGGGCACCATGAGATGCCCTCCCTGTCCTTTCAGACCTTCTAGACTGTTTTTAACTTGAACCCTCCTGTCCAGCGTTCGTGACGGCCCCACTTTCTGCCGAGTGTTACCATTTGCTGGGCAGGCTGTTCCCAGGTCTTTATTCGCAGTCGATCACGTCATTACTGTGCTTGGAAACGGTGTTTGCTGATTTTTAAAGACTGAACTGCGTGTTTTGCGACGAAGCTCGGACTTCACAGAGTCTCAGGTCGCCCCGTGCTTCCCTCCCCCGCCGACTTGCACCACCCCCTGCCCCGCCCGACTTCCTTTTTCTTTGCTGTGCGTCTTCCCTCTAAGGGTTTGGAAGCTCTGCCTTTTCTCACTTCCTTTCCTTCTTCATGGTAGTTGTGGCCCAAATGTCTCAACACAAATGCATAACTGCTATTTCCCATCAACAGTTACACTCATCTTTTCTTTACAAAATTCCACTTTCAAAATGGTTTTGCTGTACAGTCTCCTCACTGGGTCGCGTTTAAAAAGAGTGTCACTGGCAACAAAGCCCTGGGGTCTAAGCAAACATCACAGATAACACAGGGGTCAGAAAGAAAAGCAGACTCACCGGCTTTCCGTCTTCACCGGGGTCGCCCTGGGTGTGCAAGAGAAGCCATTAGTGATGGGAAATGACTCCTCCGGCGCCACCTACAGTGTCTACATGGAAATGCACCCCACGCTCCAAGTCCCCACGAGGCGGCAGACGCCTTCCCCCGATGTCCTCGCACCCGCGCCAGGAGCCTCCTCACACCCACAAGGGCTGTGTCTGAGCAGCTCCGCCTCCCACGTCTGACCACCTTCCAGCACCAACCCCGAGCAACGGTGGGCCTAAGGAGGCTGCTGACCTGCCCCGATCCCAGCTCAGCTCACTCCCATGTCGGCCGCAGCCTCTCCCCCTCCTACCCAAGCCCCCACCCTCCAGACCGGGCCGGACTCGGGGGGACGTGAGGACTCACCGGCTCGCCGTCCCTTCCAGGGGTGCCGTCCCTCCCCGGAGGCCCTGGGGGTCCTTGTGGTCCGGGGACAGTTTGCAACGCTGGGCCTGCAGGACCCAGGGGACTCACTGGGCACGGGAGACCCGGGGGACCAGGTAGGCATGGGGATCCTGGGGGGCCTGCCCGGCCAGGTGGGCCCGGAACACCTGGCTCCCCTTTCTGCCCCTTCAGGCCGCCCTGGGAATAAACAGAACACAGGGCTCGGGCTGGGGTGGGGCCCCACACACCCTGCCCACGTGTCCCGCTGCGCCCTCCAGAGTCCCAGGCTGGGCTGCTTCCCACAGTGGACACGCAGGGTGGACGCATGCTGGCACCGAGTGCTGGGCACAAAGGAGGCACGGGCACAGAGGGGCTTCATCAGGGCTCACCAGTGAGTGGCCCAAAAGGCCACAGGTGCTCTGGTTCAGAATGGTTCAGGAGCACAGGGAGGTGGCCTTACCTCTTTCACGCGGCCCCCAGGGGTCCGGACACTCCCGTCCCACGTGGAGACAGAATCTGAGCCAGGAAGTGTCTGAGCTGGGAAGAGAAGCAGAGGTGGCCACGGTCACGCCCCCCGGGTGGCCCCAGCTCTGCTCTCGGCACCCCAGACGGCCCCGGCAGCCCAAACGCTTTCAGTCCTGGAGCCCGGCTGGACACTGTCAGATCCCCAGCCTCAGGCCGCACTCCCCTGAGCTCCAGCTCCCAGGCAAAGGCAACAGGGAGACAGAATTTAAAATCAACAGTGAGGCCGGTGTGGCCATCTAAGCCAATGACAGCTGAAGTCTGGGAGATGCTTCCTGAATTTGTTACAAGAGACCCTGGCCCCCCAGAATGCCTTCTTATCACCCAGCATGCTTTGTCCCTTTTCCTTTTTCCCTCTTAACTTTTACTTAAAATAAAAATGAAAACCAACAGAAATCCTGCAAGAGAAGCACAGTGAACACCCAGAGCCTGTACCCAGAGCCACCATCCGGGCCTCGGCATCTCCCCACCTGCCACACACACACACACACACACACACACACAAAACACATAATACACATCACACACATGTACATTACACATGCACATCACACACATACACACAATACGCACACTACACATCACATACAACACAACATGCACTGCACACCACACACGTACACTACACGCAACACACACACCACACCACACACAATACACACACCACACACTGCACACACACATGCCCACATGCATGCACCATACACACTACATACACATCACATAAACATCACACATGTCACAAACATGCACATCACACACCACACATCAAACACCTGCCATATATTTCACACAAACACGTGCCATATCACACACACATGTACCATATACACCACACACTACACACACCATACATCACACACATACCTCACCATCACACAAACACACGTTACACACCACACACACCCCACACCACACACACACCACATCCAGAAAAGAGCTTACCTCCTAACGAAGCCACCGTGGTCTGCTCCTCGACTTCTTCACTTCTGGAATCTTCCGTGCTGCTGCCTCCAGCCAAGGGTGGCGTGGTGACGGGGGGTGGCGCGGGGAGCCTGGGTTTTAGGGCCGCGCCCTGGAGGACGAGAGGGGAGGTGGCCTGTTATTCGGCCGGCAGATGCCCGGTGGAGACTTGCTTGGTTTGTGAAATGAAATACTTAAGATCGCAAGAAAGATAAAGAAAAATCCTCTGAAACAGGAGGGTGCTCCAGGGCCGTGCGCGAGGGGCTTCCTTCCGTGGGCCGCAGGGGTGTGGCCGCCTGTGGGCTCCCCGGCTCCCCAGGACCCAGGACCGCGCCTGCCGTCACCACAGAGGCCTCCCGGCGCCCGACAGGCCATGCTGGGAAGCTGATGTGAATCTGCAGAGGGTCCCCGCAGGGAACACGTTCCCGCACCCGTCTCTCACGGACAGCACCGCGCCTCAGTCCCGCGGCTGGGGCCTCCCCACTCCCCGCCCCTCCTGTGTTTTCTCAGGTGGCCCGAGCTGGGGAAAGCCTTCCGCGCGCTCCCTGCGCCGCCTTCTCCTCCTGGTCGTCAGGCTCACACACGCGTTCATTCCCTGATGGCCACGCACGAGCTAACGGAGGGATGGGGCGAAGGGAAGGCCAAGGTTGCCTCGAAGACCAAGGAGTGTGCAGGGCAGGACCTCGTTTTAAAGGAATATCCTCTCACCAGAGACACGCGGCGGCCAGGCAGGGCCGGAGCGGGGCCTGTGCCCAGGCTCCGAGCGTCTGCCCAGCCCAGCATCCCTGTCCCCAGCCAGGAATATGTCTTCGTGGCATAGAGGGAGCTCTTGGAGCCACACCTGCGTGTGCACATGTGTCACCCCACTGCTGGGAGGGGCTCTCCCGGGACCCTGCAGCGTGGGCTGGGCCCCGTCCGGCTACTCACCGTCTCCTCCCTGAGAAGCTCCCGGGCGTCCCCGAGCCCGCTGCCAGAGTCTCCGGATGCCTGAGGAGTTTGAAAAGGGAAAGGCTGGAGAGATGGCAGCCAGGCCAGGCCCCGAGCCCGGCAGGCCTGGGAAGCAAAGGACGCTGCTCTCGCCTCCTCCAGGCCCCCTCTCGCCTCGTCCAGCCCTCTCTGGTGCTCTCCGGGGGGCCGCTGGGGTGGGCACGCTGGCCTTCCCTGCCCAGGCACCATCTGAGCTTCAGTAAGTCGTGTCCAATCGGGTCGAGGACAGTGACGCTTCTGAACCTGCCTCGGCCGGTGGTCAGACATGCGGAGGCGGGAGGGGGAACGCGCTCCTCTCTTCTGGCCAGAGCCCTGCCCTGGAGGAGGCCGCACCGCAGATGCTCCCCGCACAGGTTTCCCCAGCGCACGCCCGGCTGGGCCGAACACGCGCCAAGGCGGCTGGATGTTTTAAACTTCAGGAAAACCCGGAGGAGAAACATCCTCAGGGACCGCTACTGACCCCTGAGGGCAAGACAGGCCAGGGGAGGGGTGCGGCGCCTCGGCGACCCCCCGCACCCAGCAAGCTGTCCCAGGGCGCAGCCTTGTCATGGCCGCCATGTGAACGATCTGGCGTCTTCTGGCATGTTCCAGGCAAAAACAACGGGCTTATTGGGCAAAATAAAGAAAAAGCATGAAAGTAACATGGATGTTCACACACTGCCCACAGTCCAGCCACGGTGTCTCCTGCCCACGCCCCCAGGAGCGAGGCTGTGGGTCCACGTCCACGGCGTCTCCTGCCCACGCCCCCAGGAGCGAGGCTGTGGGTCCATGTTCACGTGGGGCATGTTGTGATCTGGGCCCCTGAGTGAGAATTCCCTGCTGTTCCTCACACCTGGGGCTGGGGGATTCTCCCCTTGGGTACCACGTGATTCCACACACCCCACCAACACACACGCCACACAACACACAGACACAGACACAGAGACACACGCACCATGCAGACATGCAGACACAACACACAAGACAGACACACCACAGAGACACACCACACACACAGAGACACACCACACACAGAGACACACTACACACAGAGACACACCACAGACACACACGACACACAAGACAGACACACCAGAGACACACATACAACACACACAACACACAAGACAGACACACCACACAGACACACACACATCCACACACAACACACAAGACAGACACACCACAGAGACACACCACACAAGACACAGAGACACACCACACAGACACAGACACACACACACACTTTGCTGAGCTGCCTCACATCCTCTGTCTCACCAGCTGCCATGGAGGGTGGTTTCTGGTGTTTATATCATGCTTTGTATTTGTTTTTATGGGAAAGTTCAGGGCAAGGAAGGGCTCTGAGGTGCTACAGGAGAGCACAGAAATGGTATCGCAGCTTCCCAGTGCCCCAAGTGGTATATTTTGGGACTTTTCCTGTCATAGACCTTGGCCCTGAACTCCGCGTGCCAGGGATTGAGGGGAGACCCCACCCGTGCCCCAGATGTCACTCACCCCATCTGAGTCATCGCCTTCCTCGTCCAGGCAGTGCATGGGGCTCACCTGGGGGTCCCTGCGCACCTTCAGCTCAGCGATCACCCCCTAAATGCAGACAGAGAAAGGGGTCACCAGCGGTCCTGAGGTGGCAGTGGCAACCCCGGTGCTGCTTGAGCTCCAGATTTCGGGGGGCCCACAAAGGGCAGGAGAGTCTCGGAGAGGGAAGGGGTCTCGGGCAGCCTCCCTGGGGGTGCGGTATGCCTCATGGTAGGAAGAAGTGGTGAGACCCAGGGGCGTCCTGGGCGCTTTCATGTGGAAAGCACCCGGCTGGGCGGAGGCTGCTCCCTCAGACTTGGCTCATCTGAGGCAGCTGATGGGCCACCTGAGGGCTACGGGTTTAGAACCACAGCAGGTGTGGCTCGATCCAAGGCCTGGGAGGGCGGGCAGATTCGAGGGGCTGCAGGTCAAGTCCCCCAACCCCAAGTCCCGGGAGCTTTACGCAAGCACCAGGCGGCCTCATCTCCCGACTCGGACCAACCGAGGTGGCACCATGGCTTTGCTTTCTTTGAACTTCACCTTTTCATCAAAAACAAAACCCAGAAGCCAAGGACAGAAACGCCGCAGATGTAGGGGAGTTTCCTGGATCTCTGCGCCCATTCCGTCCGGACCCAATCTCACTCACTCACCCACCTACCCACCGCTCCCTCTGGCATCTTCAGTCCTGGGCTGAGTGCCAGGGTGCCTGACCCTGCCCTCTCGGGCCCTGGCGCGGCCGGCGGTGCCTGGTGAGATGCAGGCCGGGGATGCTGGGCAAGGACACAGGAGGGCGCAACGTCCTAAGCCTCAAGCGGGTAGCTTGCCTGGTGGGGAGAGGACGCTGGGAGGGGCTTTGACAGGAAAAGGGGCTGCCAGGTGGGGGCTGCGCACAGTACCAGGGGCTCCACTGGCCGCACTGCGGGTTCTGCATCCTGGCCTAGATTTCAGAGCCAAGCGAGGCCAGCTGGAGCCTGGGGCTCCCCATGCCGGCTGGGCCCCCAAAGCCCAGGCAGGTGGCTCAGGAGTGGGGCTGAGCCTGCAGGACGGGGTGTGAGTGCTGAGTGTGTGGGCACATGTGCGTGAGAGCATGCATCTGCATGGACACATGTGTGCAAACATGAGATCACGTATGCACGCGTGTGAGCTCATGCGTGGGGGGGTGTGGACCCTGTGGGCCCCCTGGGTTTCCCACAGGTTTCCCACAAAACGCACCAGCGGTTCTCAGCCTCACAGAGCGCACCAGCGGCTCTCAGCGTCACACTGCGGGGGAGGGCGTTGCCTACAGTGCCCCCAGGTCGGCCAGGGGCAGCACCGTGGGGTCCAGGGTCCACTGTCCACCAGGACCTACTGCGTGGGGGTGGGGCAGCAGCCCAGCAGCTGAGCCTTCACATTCAGGAGCCCCCAGGTCAGGCCCAGGGAGGAGCTGGGGTTGAATTCTAGAAAACTGCGCTTCGGCCGGGCGCAGTGGCTCACGCCTGTAATCCCAGCACTTTGGAAGGCCGAGGCGGGTGGATCACAAGGTCAGGAGATTGAGACCATGGGGAAACCCCGTCTCTACTAATAATACAAAAAATCAGCCTGGCCTGGTGGCGGGCGCCTGTAGTCCCAGCTACTTGGGAGGCTGAGGCAGGAGAATGGCGTGAACCCGGGAGGCAGAGCTTGCAGTGAGCCGCAATCGTGCCACTGCACTCCAGCCTGGGCGACAGAGCGAGACTCCGTCTCAAAAAAAAAACAAAAAAAAAAAACTGCGCTTCTCCACTGGGGCAGCCCGGGCGGGGGGTGCATCTTGGGTGGTCTTGGTGTCGGGGAGGGACTGGGCATTCCTGACACCCGATCCCCACACAGACATGCACTGTCCAGAGAGGCCCGTGAGGCCCTGACCCCCCCACAGGTGGCCACAGCGCTCTCCTGAGAGTGCCCCCGAGGGGCCGACGCCTCCTGCACGGGGCTACAGGGTGCCTGGGTGGGGGGCGACTACAGAGGGCAGAGAAGCTCTGAGCCCGTGGTGGCCGCTGGCTCCGGGGGTGGGGCAGGAGGCGCTAGTGCAAAAGCCACAGGCCCATTGTAAATATTTAAGGGACTTCGGACTGAAAGTTATGAAATCCGGAGACACCTGAAACAGAGCTCACAGGAATTCTGTGAGGGAAGAGCATGTAAAATGCTTCCCGACACGCTGCAGCCTCAGCGCCCTGGAAATCAGGACACAGCTGGAAATCAGGACACAGCTGGAAATCAGGACACAGCTGGAAATGACGTTCAAGGCAACGGCAGCAGCTGGGAGGGGTGCATGATTTCCCGGGAGACGACCACTGACAAACCTGACTCAAGAAAGTGAACCTGAAAAGACCAACAACGCCCAAGGACTCTTAGGACGAGGAACACAACCAATGCTCCGGAGGGCTCTGTTGGACCCAGCTGCGGCCGGGGGTCCCAGGCACCATCTGTGGCAGCGCCAGGGTCGATGCAGTCTTGTGGAGAGGCTGAGGAGGAGGAAGCCTCGGTTTCCTCCCTGCTCCCAAAGCTCTGTGCTTGTTTCTGCCAAAAATTATGAGTCACACAACTTGAATGTTTCTTTCCCAAGTATCTCAATTCAGAAGTCTGAGAAAATCTTGTGCTGAACAAGTCTGTCTTCTTTTCTACCACACAAGCATGCTTCTCCTCTCCCCAGCTGGAATCTCATCTAAGACCCAAAGAGAAAGTTCCTGACACCTGAGGCCTGCAGGGACCTGACACAGAGATCAACCAACACAGCCCTCAGCACACGGCCCATAGCGCGCCACCCACGCCCAGCAGCACACGGCCTGCTGCACGCCACCCACGCCCAGCAGCACAAGGCCCGTAGTGCGCCACCCAGGCCCAGCAGCACACGGCCCGTAGCGCGCCACCCAGGCCCAGCAGCACAAGGCCCGTAGCGCGCCACCCACACCCAGCAGCACAAGCCCGTAGCACGCCACCCAGGCCCAGCAGCACGAAGCCTGTAGCGCGCCACCCACGCCCAGCAGCACACGGCCTGCTGCACGCCACCCACGCCCAGCAGGGCCCCAGCCCAGGGCCAGACCCAGGGCCCTCTAGCTCCCTCCTGTTCCAGCTCTCTGACCTTCCAAGGTTTCACTGGGCTGTTGTAAGTCATGGTGTCTTCTCCAGGCCAGATTTAACCACATAAACACATCAAATCCCAGCTGGGTGCAGTGGCTCACGCCTGTAATCCCAGCACTTTGAGAGGCTTAGGCGGGTGGATCACCTGAGGTCGGGAGTTCGAGACCAGCCTGACCAATATGGTGAAACCCCGTCTCTACTAAAAATACAAAAATTAGCTAGGCATGGTGGCAGGTGCCTGTAATCCCAGCTACTTGGGAGGCTGAGGCAGAAGAATCGCATGAACCTGGGAGGCAGAGGTTGCAGTGAGCCGAGATCACCCCATTGCACTCCAGCCTGAGCAACAGAGCGAGATTCCATCTAAAAAAAAAAAAACAAAAAAAAAACCCACAAAAAAACCACACATCCAATCCCAATAGTCAAAAAAAAAAAAAAAAAAAAAGACAAGGTAAAAAGGCAAATGACATGGTAGAAATAAAATCTGCAGCATGCAAAACCAAAGAGAAGTTTCTTTTAAAGATAAGGAGTTTGTATAAATCACTGAGAGTTGGGCCCATTGAAAACCACAAAGAACATAAACCGGTCAGTCACAAAGGAAGAAATACAAACAGACAATAAACAAGTGACAAAATGAAAGTCTATCTTCACAGTCCAAGAAATGCAAAATTAAACACCCAGACCCCCTCTTCCTACACACGGGACTTCGCTGATGAGGAGGCCCTCACCGCAGGGCGGTGGCCCGGCTCTCCCTAGCACCATCGGGGCACAGCTGTGCACCCACGTACCGAGCTCTCGGCACTCAGCCGCTTTTCCTAACAGTGTTAAAGATGTACGGCACTTGTGGGCCACTTTATTCCACCAAGAAACGGCTGGGGACTCACACAACAAATTGCCTCTCACTGGAGGGGGTGACTCTGACTTCTTTCCCGGTAATCATGTTTGTGATCAAGAGGAAAACAAAGAGGCCCAGTTTGGTGTCAACGTCCTAGCGGCTCCTGAGCTCTGAGGGTTAAAAGTTCCTGCCAAAGGTGAAAAGTCAGCTTTCAGAACCCCCAGACACCAGGACTTAGAACAACTTCAAACAAACAGCCCTTGTCTGGGCAATAATTAACCTTCTGTCCCCTGCGGCCCGCCAGGGCAGGGGCGTCCAGCTGCAGGCCAGCTTGAATGCTAGAATTCAGGGACTTGTGAGACAGTGCCAGCTGAGGTCACCCACGTGGCTGTTCCCAGCCAAAGGTTCCCAGAAATGCAGGGGCTTTGGACACAGACCCCACATGGGTTTAGGGATCTGTCCACCCCCCCAACCCCAAGAAATGAAGGCCCACTGGAGGGACTTCCCGGAGACTCAGGTGGAGGCGGCCACGTGCGTTCACCGCTGGGGGACTCCCACCACGTGCTCCAAAGTGGAGTCTCACAGGCGTGGGTTGCTGCACCCTTTGTTAAAGGTGCTGACCTGCAGGGCCGCCCTGAGCCCCTGGTCCCAGCGGGTGTGCAGCTACCACAGGAGAACCCTGCTGGGATCAACACCCTGCTGCCGCCAGCTTTGGATCGTTCATCGTTTTCAACAAGGACCCCAGCTTTCATTCTGCATGGGGCCACGAGGCGTGTGGCTGGGCCTGGACTCGGTCCCCACTTACCCGACCGGCCGGTCAGAGGCCGGGAGCCCCACTTCACCACAGGGCTTGGCACAGGCCTGGGGGTGTCTCTGGGTCACGGGGTCACGGCTGGGGTGGATGTCTAGTTACAAAGTCGTTCAAAGAGGGCCCTCCTGGGCTGGGCCTCGGGGTCTCAGAGAAACCATGGAAGCCCAGGGCTACCCTTCCTGGGGGCGCAGGAGCCAGAGAGCCAAGAAAGTGAATGCCACCCCAGCCAGGCCGGCCAAGAACCCGGGAGGCCTGCGCCGGAGGCCAGGGCTGAGCAGCCAAGAACCCAGGAGGCCTGCGCTGGAGGCCCGGGCTGACCACAGCTGGGGTGGGGGCTCTCCTCTTCCGGCCACAGCTCCGTCCCTGTCCCAGTGGCCACCCCCACCCCACCCCATCCCAGCTGCTCCA